>NC_000003.12:194460571-194611571 GCF_000001405.40 Homo sapiens | reverse complement strand
TCTCATACCCATGAAATCAGAATGTCTGGAAGTGGGAAGTAGGCATTCCTTGTTTTGTTTTGTTTGTACGACAGGGTCTCACTCTGTCCCCTAGGCTGGAATGCAGTGCCTGGATCACAGCTTCACTCCAGATCGCTGCTCAGCTGGGGATCTTAAAAAGCAGAATAGGCCGGGTGTGGTGGCTCACGCCTGTCATCCCAGCACTTTGGGAGGCCGAGGTGGGAGGATCACTCGTGGATCACTTGAGCCCAGGACTTTGAGACCAACCTGGTCAGTACAGTGAAACTGGTCTCTACAAAAAATAAAATAAAATAAAAAAGATTCCTAGCTGATTCTACTGTGTTGCAAAATTTGGGAAACACTAAATGACTGTGGCCTCGAAGAGAAAGATAAGACACATCTTATAGGAAGCAGAAAGTGAGACGTGCCGTTAAAAAAGAGAGAGAGAAAATACCACGGGGGTCCTTTTGAATAAAATGTGACCTTGTTTTTAGAAAATGCCTCCTGACTTTGAGAATTCCCCTTTCTGTCTCCCTGCCTCTACTTGCAAGAATTTGGATTGGGTGCCTCTCACCACACTGTCACACTGCAAGTCACTGAGGACAATGACAGCAATCAGTCGCTACATGGAGCTGACCATCGAGCCTGTGCAGCAGGTGAGTGGCCATCGGTCATGGCCAGGTGTCTGAGAGGATGGGAAGCAGTCATGGAAGGCTTCCTGGAGGAGGTGATGCTTTAGCTGAGGGATGAGCAGGAGAAAACAAGAGAAGCAGGTAAAAAAGAAGGAGCTGTCCAAGGCTGCAGTGGAGGGGCAGATATGGGGGAGTGTTGGAGAGAAAAATATTTTCCCTGTCCCCTCTGATGAAACACAGAGTAACAAGAAAAAACAGCTTTAAATGTACAAAGAAAAATGTGGCTCAAGGAGGTGGCCAGTTGATGGAGGCGTATATACCATATTAGGCTAAATCAAGAAAAAGAGGTTTGGGGTTCTGGGGTGGGAGGCAAGGTGAGGGAGGACCTGTGTGGGAAATAAGGGTTTTCTTGCTATGCAGGTGAGAGTCTCTCGGGTGGAAGTAGCTCTCTTCCTGGTGCAGAAATATCTTTACAAATGGAAATTTCCTTTATGAAAGGGAAAATGTGTACTCTCTTTTCAGGCAGTTAGGGGAGGTTAATAGCTTCTGCTTCTGCTGGTTTTCAAAGACCTTTAGATCTAAGGAATCCATATGCTAAAGAGGCATATTTCGGGGTGGTATATGCTGGTACCATTTAGGAGTGAGGGGAGATGAAAGGGCTGGAGGAGGCAGGGGTCGGGTCGTTTAGACACGGAGTCTATCATCTTTTTCTCTCTTTTTTTTTTTTGAGACACTCTGTCGCCCAGGCTGGAGTACAGTGGCATGATCTCAGCTCACTGCAGCCCCCCGGGTTCAAGTGATTCTCCTACCTCAGCCTCCAGAGAAACTGAGACTACAGGAGCCTGCCACCACGCCCAGCTAATTTTTGTATTTTTACTAGAGACGGGGTTTCACCATGTTAGCCAGGCTGGTCTCGATCTCTTGACCTCGTGATCTGCTGGCCTCGGCCTCCCAAAGTGCTGGGACTACAGGTGTGAGCCACTGCGTCCGGCCGTGTCTATCATCTTGAGAGTGATGGGAGTCAGGAGGCTTGAGTACTGGAGACTCAGGGTCAGATGTGCATTTTAGAGCCATCTGGGGAAGTTGTTGCGGGTGGCCTGGGGGAGAGGAGAGTAGCAGCCGAGCAGTCAGTCAGGGCCAGTTGGAAGCCCGAGGAAAAGGAAGTGTGGCCTAAACTGAGGTTGGAGCAGACGGAGAAGCAGAGACAGAGTTGAGCGAGTTGGGAAGTGGAGCGCTGGAGGGGTGAGGAGGTGCGGGTGAGGGAGGCAGGGCTCCGGGTGACTCCCTGAGTTCTGGCCTACACGAGGGGTCCTCAGGAGGAAGAGAATTGGGAAAGAGGTGACGAGAAGTTCACCCCATGTCCCACTATTCCACCAAGACTGTCTTGTCGAGGTCACCGATGACCTCCAAGCTGCTAAGTCCACCATCATTCCATTCTGAGAGTCCACGCACTCGGCCACCAGCTGCTCCTGGCGTCTGTGGCCCCCACTCTTCTGTGTTTCCTGCCACCCTCACAGGCTCTTCTTTCCCCTCGGCCTCTGCTGGCTCCTCTGGGTAAGCTTGACTGTAGAGAGGGAGTCCAACGCCCTGTCCCAGGCAGGCTCCCTGCTCCTGGTGGGCCCTGCAGTCCCACAGTCCCCTCGCTCTGCACACCAGTTCTTGCTGACTTCCCCCATTCGTGTCTCCGTCCTTTCCCCTCCCCTCAGTTCCCATCTCGGCTGCCCAGCTGCCCATTCAGCTGTCACCATATGGCATCTCACGCTTACCTCGTCCAACACAGAATTCTGGATTTCCATGCCCAGACCGGCTCCTCTCCCCATCTTCCTCATCTTAGTAAATGACGCACTGTCTTTGCAGTGGTTCAAGCCCAAAATTCCTCTTTCCCTGGCCACACCCCCATGCCCATCCATTCCTTTTGAGAGTCCTGTAAATGCTTCCTTATTTAAACTAGGTCTTGAGTCCAGCAGCCTCCTGGCTGTCATCCTCTCCACTTCTTCTGTGGTCCTGCCCTGCCCATCTCTAACGAGCAGCCAGAGGGATCATTCACAAATGTAAATGACATCTTGTTCCTCCTTTGTTTAAAACACTCCTCTGGGCCAGAGCTCTTGGTGGCCCACACCTGTAATCCTAATACTTTGGGAACCTGAGGTAGGAGTATCGCTTGAGGCCAGGAGTTCGAGACCAGCCTGGACCACATAGCGAGACCCCATCTCTCGTCTCCTGTTCACTCCTGTCTAGCTGCACAGAGTTTCTCTCCATTCCTCTGCCCAGAATGCTCTCCCTCCTGATTTTTCACAGCTGCCTCTTTCTTGTCTTTCCAGCTTCAACGTAAATGTCTGCTTCTCCAGAGCTCTTCCCTAACCACCCAGTCCGAAGCAGGACCCGTCTGTCCTTCTCCTCTATTTTATTACCTATTGAAATTCTCTGCAAAGCACTTATCACGATCTTTTACTTTGGTTTGTCTGTGTCCTGCTGAGATGTAAACTTTATCTCCTGTCTCGTTGACTCCTGGTGCCTATAACCTTGCAGTCCTGGGCTCTCAGTAAAGGTGTGTTTTGAATATATGGTCCAGTGGTGAGGGCCCCTGCCAGGCTGCCCAGACACACCGGTGCCCGGAGAGACTCGGCTGAGAGAGAGGTTTTGCTGTTTGCTGTTGTTGCTCCTTGTATACTGGGTGCACAGAACCTTGTGTATGACCTAAGTGAAGTTCAGAGAGATTCAGAGCATGCCTTTGTAGCTAAGAGCCCACTTCAGCCATTAAACCATCCTTCCGAAGGGAGGGAGGAGGCAGGGTGTGTGGGGAACCCTTGGGAAGGCACGGGAGTTCCTGCAGCATC
The DNA here is from genome assembly GCF_000001405.40 of Homo sapiens. Classification (NCBI taxonomy): domain Eukaryota; kingdom Metazoa; phylum Chordata; class Mammalia; order Primates; family Hominidae; genus Homo; species Homo sapiens. The sequence goes on along the minus strand of NC_000003.12, from coordinate 194,608,102 downwards.
TGGCCAAAGCTTTGCACTGGGAAGTTCTACATCATGGGACTTCTGAAGGAGAATGTGTAAAAGTTGTATTCACTTTAACCCTTCCAGTAGCTCAGTGTCGAAGGGATTCTTGTTGGGGAACAGACTCCATGAAAGAAGAGTGTGTTCCACCTTCATTCCCTCCCACTGAAGCCCACAAGTGCGTCTTTGAGCTTCCACCCAGCTTTTTCCTTCTGTGTCCATCAGAGGGCTAGAGGGAGCCCCGAGCCCCACTGTCCAGCTGGGCTGGCAGGTGCCTCCCTCAGCACTAGGGGCACCCCTCCCATCATAGCCTGTCTACTGAGGGTTAGGGACTTGCCAGGCTCTGAGTAAACAACAGCAGCCAACACTTACGTGGTACTTATGGGCCAGAGTACTGGTCTAAGTGCTTTACACACATTAACTTGCCCCACAGCCGACTCCTGAGTATTATACTCATTTTACAGATAAGGAAACTGGGGGCTGGAGCAGTTAAGTGACCTGCTCAAGGTCACACAGTTTGTCAGTGATAGAACCGGATTCAGACCTGTCTCTACCCGAGTTTGTGCCATTGACCTCTATGCTGTACAGCCTTGTACTTGGCATAATGACACCAAGTAAACACTTGATAAATGGCGATTTATTATTAATAAAATAATACTGTTTACCATGTAAGTGTTAATAAAAATGAGCCCAACAACTGTATGAGGAAGGATCCTAGTGTGTTTTGCATTGCCATAAAGGAACACCTGAGGCTGGGTAATTTAGAAAGAATAGAGGTTTATGTGGCTCGTGGTTCTGCATGTTTACGTGGTGCCAGCATCTGCACTGGTGAGGCCTCAGGCTGCCTCCACTCATGGGGGAAGGCAAAGGCAAGCAGGCTTCACATGGCAGGAGAGAGAGGAAGGGGTGCCAGGCTCTTTCTAACAAGCAGTTCTTGCAGAACAAAGTGAGAGCTCACTTACCAGAAGGGCCCTTCCACCAGGATCCAGACACCTCCCACCAGGCCCCACTTCCAACACTGGGATCACATTTCAACATGAGACACGCTGGGGCCAAACAAACCACATCCAAACCATAGCAGAGAGATACTATTATTATTTCTATTTTGTTTTATTTTTATTTTTTCTTTTATTCTTTCCTTTTTTTTTTTGAGGCAGAGTCTCGCTCTGTCGCCCAGGCTGGAGTGCAGTGGCACAATCACGGCTCACTGTGACCCACACCTCCTGTGTTCAAGAGATTCTCGATTCTCATGCCTCAGCCTCCCAAATAACTGAGACTATGGGCATATGCCACCATGCTTGGCTATTTTGTGTGTGTGTATTTTTAGTAGAGAAGGGGTTTCGCCATGTTGTCCAGGCTGTTCTCAAACTCCTGACCTCAAGTGATCCGCCTGCCTCGGCCTCCCAAAGTGCTGGGATTACAGGTGTGAGCCACCGTGCCTGGCCTGTATCTATTATTATTATTTTATTAACAATTAATAATGTTATTTTAAATTGAGGCACAGAGAGGTTAAGTAACTTGCCCAAGATCCTACAGTTAGAAAAATCACAGAAAGAGGATTCAAACTAAGCCTGCCCGATTCAGGGACCTGGGCTTTTATGAAGAGAATATGCTCTCTGTGCTGCCGCTTTGTACCTGCTCGGTTAGCAGTTTTAAACACTGTTGTAATGTGAATATCCCAATGGGCAAGACTGTGGGGAAACAGGCACCCTGTTGGCCGTGTCCACTGATACATATCCCATTAGAAGGGCCATCTGGAAATGGGTAAGGAGAGCTGCAGAGGTGCTCCCTTGTTTTCCCAGCAAGCCCCCTGAGCACTGGTCCTAAGGAGCGATTTTCCAGGAGACGCAGCGGGAGCAGCACTGTGGTTCAGGCTGAGCCTCCAGAGGGGCAGAGGGGTCCCATGGGGCCATATGGATCAAATCCTGCATCCTCGGCTTGGAGTGTTTGAAAATTCTGTTTTATCTTTTGACGCAGGTGTGGTCAGGCCTTGGGCATTTATAGAATTTGTCATTGTTGTTCCTGGGAGGCATCTGCTTCCCCACTCCCATCCAGAGCCTTCTGTTTCAGCATCCTTCCCAGCTGGGAAGCAGGGTGGCCCCTCACCTGTGTTCCTGCTTCCAGAATGCTGCCTTTGTTTCTCTTGTGGATTTTCTCTGCCAGTCCACCTGACTCTGACAGGAGCTTGTGCACCTAACCCATCAAGGGCTGAAGCCCCGCTGGATTTGGGTCGAGTACTCATAGCCATTCTCCTCATGTGTCCCAGGCATTTACATCTGAGCCCCATGACACCCCCTCACTGGAGGCAAAGCAGGGATTATCATCCCCTTTTATAGATGAGGAAACTGAGACTCAGAGAGGACAACTTTCTTTCTTAGGTGATGTGGTTTGGATGTGTCCCCACGCAAATCTCATCTTGAATTCCCACGTGTTGTGGGAGGGACCCAGTGGGAGGTAATTGAATTATGGGGTCAAGTCTTTCCCGTGCTGTTCTCGTGACAGTGAATTAGTCTCACGAGATCTGATGGTTTTATAAAGAGGAGCTCCCCTACACAAGCTCTCTCTTTGCCTGCTGCCATCCATGTAAGACGTGACTTGCTCCTCCTTTGCCTTCTGCCGTGATTGTGAGGCCTCCCCAGCCATGTGGAACTGTAAGTCCATTAAACCTCTTCTTCTTCCCAGTCTTGGGTATGTCTTTGTCAGCAGCATGAAAACAAACTAATACATTAGATCACATGGTTAATTAGTGGAAGATGCTGGTCTGGAAAGCAGGTTGTCTGCTCTGTCACGTGTCAGTGGAATGATGTGAATCCTGCAGGACTTCAAAAGTTCAGCTGGTGGAGCTTTGTAGATCTCTGAGGAGTCCCCATGAGCCCATGGGGGGAAGCTTTGGTCTGAGACAGATAGATAGATTGGTAGATAGACAGATACATAAATAGATACATAGATAGATACATACATAGATAGATACATAGATAGATACATAGATACATAGAAAATCTCACAAGTTTCTTTCTACCTTAAACCTTCCTATTTCATCCCAACTCACTTTCATCCCCTGCTGGTGGGCATGAGGAAGGCCTCTATGGGGTGCGTTTTTAGCAGTAGCTATACAGATTTCAAATGTACATACTCTCTTTAATCCAGCAATTCCGCCTCTGGGAATTTATCCTTTACTCTGAAATCTTGGATGTACAGTGTAATTTACTGCAGTCAGTATTGATTGCAAAAGCAAGAGACTGGAAACACATTAAGCACCCATTAGTAGGGGATGGGTTAATAGACTGGGAACACCTGAAATGCTACCAAAAACCTCCCAAATCTTCTGATACAGAACTATCTCTAAGGCATAGTGTTAGGTGAAAAAAAGCAAGGTGCTTAAGAGAATGGAGTGTGTGCTATCATTTTGGAAATCGGGGGAAATATGTGTACGTGGATTTGGTTGTATGTGTATAGAGTATCTGGAGGGATACACAAGACACAGGGCACTGGCTGCCCTGGGGAGAGCTGGATGGCCAGGGCAGGAGAGCACAGGTAGATGCTGCCCTGCACACCCTTTTGTACATTTTGAACACTGAAGTATGTGAATGCTTTGACAATTCAACCATCAAAACTAAACTACGTGTCCTTGCCTGCCCTTTCTCACACACCTTGCAGGCAGGCTGCAGTGCCACCAGGCTGCCAGGTGACGGGCAGACGAGCGCCGGAGATGCGTCCCTGCAGGACCCCCCGTCGTACCCTCCCGTTCAGGTCATCCGGGCCCGGGTGTCTTCCGGCAGCTCCTCTGAGGTCTCCTCCATCAACTCCGACCTGGAGGTACACGGCTGTTGCCTGCTGGGCGGGTGCGTGGGTGCCATCGTTCGCCGACACTTGCTGGGTGCTCCTTGGGGCTTGTGCAGCTGTTCTCATCTTATCCACGTTAACCTCATACCTGCTAAATAATGAATGAGGCCAGGCGCGGTGGCTCACACCTGTAATTGCAGCACTTGGGGAGCCTGAGGCAGGTGGATCACCTGAGGTCAGGAGTTTGAGACCAGCCTGGCCAACATGGCAAAACCTTATCTCTACTAAAAATACAAAAATTAGCCGGGTGTAGTGGCGGCCACCTGTTATCCCAGCTACCCAGGAGGCGAAGGCAGGAGAATCTCTTGAACCTGGGAGGCAGAGGTTGCAGTGAGCCGAGATTGCGCCATTGCACTTTAGTCTGGGCAACAGAACGAGACTCCGTCTCAAAAAAAACAAAAAAAAAATGAACTTCCGTGGGGCCCCTACCCTGTGTGTCAGTACCAACAAGAGGTTTCCACGGTCACATTAGTCGCAGGGACACTGCATATTGGGGCCCGGTCTTCACCGATCACTTGAGTGATGAATGAATGAACAATACATTTTTTAAAGTCTTGGTGTTGGCTGGGTGTGGTGGCTCACGCCTGTAATCCCAGCACTTTGAGAGGCCAAGGCAGGCAGATCACCTGAGATCAGGAGTTCAAGACCAGCCTGGCCAACATGGAGAAACCCTGTCTCTACTAAAAACACAAAAATTAGCCAGGCGTGGTGGTTCGCACCTGTAATCCCAGCTACTTGGGAGGCTGAGGCATGAGAATCACTTGAACCCGGGAGGTGGAAATTACAGTGAGCCAAGATCATGCCACTGCACTCCAGCTTAGCCAACAGAGCGAGACTCCATCTAAAAAAAAAAAAGTCTCAGTGCTTCTCAAACTGATTTGCCCATGGGAGCTTTTCTCCCCCCGAGGAGCACCAGCTACATCCTGCTGTGTTAGTGGGGCCATACACAAGTGGGCCCTGTCGTGGGCACCACGGCTGACACCTGTATAAACTTTACCTCATTTTGAGCTTTTATGTCTGTGAATAAAACACACGTCACAGCTTGGATCACACACAGGCGTAACTCTCAGGTCTGAGCTGTTCTCTCTCTTGGTCCCACCGCTGTGGTTCCCAGCCCCATTCAGCGAGGAGGTTTCCATCTGTCTGTGGAAAAATGAGAACCACAAGGACAATGTAGCGGCCGCTTGTATGTCAGTAGACAATTGCCAGCTGTCTTTTGGTGCGGGGAGAGGACTGTCTTCCGTTATGAGTTTGTGTCCTCCCAACTGTTTTGGTGTTAAATGCCCTTTTAGGAAAGAATGGTAATAGTAAGCAGTAGTTGGTGTTGAGTTTTTGGTTTGGGTTTTAATTGGCCTTATTTGGCAAAATAATCAATTAGCCATTGTAAGTCCCCTAGATTGGTTGAACTTAAACTGACCCTTGAAATCTGAAACTCAGAACCACTGACTGGGATGAAGTCTGGATTCCTCAGGGTGGCAGTCCAGGCCTTTCACAGCCTGCCCGGCCTCACACACCCCCTCCCCTCACCGGGAGCACTACCTGGCCACGGACTCTTCTCTGGCCCTTTCGCCACAGGTCAGAATCTGACCCAGAGGCTAGCGGCTCCTTCCTCTGAGTGCCCAGAGCACGTACCTTTCTTTCCTTCTTTTTTTTTTTTGAGAAGGAGTTCTCGCTCTGTCACCCAGGCTGGAGTGCAGTGACGCGATCTCAGCTCACTGCAACCTCCGCCTCCCGGGTTCAAGAGATTCTGGTGCCTCAGCCTCCCCAGCAGCTAGGATTACAGGTGCCCACCACCACGCCCGGCTAATTTTTGTATTTTTAGTAAAGATGAGGTTTCACCATGTTGGCCAGGCTGGTCTTGAACTCCTGACCTCAGGTGATCCACCCACCTCGGCCTCCCAAAGTGCTGGGATTACAGGCGTGAGCCACCTCACCCAGCCTAGAGCACATACCTTTCTGACACCACTTCCACTGCTGGCCGTGTGCCCCAGGAGCCACAGCGGCCTGGGTTGCCTTTGCGTCTCTCTGTCCCTGCACCCTGGAGCACAGCTGGCCCCTGAGGGCTGGGTTTGAGTTAGGGACTCTGCATCCTTTGGGTTCATATTCCTGTATCATTCTGTGTTGTGTGGTTCTTGGATCCGGTCTCAGAATTTGTAGGGTACCCAAGGCACGTGGCTGGCAGCCTGGAGCCAGCAGTCTTGGCGGAGATCTAAGGCTAAAGGGGACCGGAGTGAGCATGATGGCAGAGTGCATTCAGTGAGCAGGGACAGTGAAGTTGGTGACTCAGGGATGGCGACGGGGAGGGAGAAGCAACATTTGTTCTGTGGAAACAAGGTTGACTCTTGCCGCCCACCCTCAGTTGAGGTAAGGACTGCACGGTGAACTTGAAAAATTCAGAAATCTGTCCTTATGGCTGATTTGGGCTGTTTTCTTGTTTTTCAGTCTTTGTTCTTTCTCTACTCTTATCTCTCTCTTTTCTAGAAATCGATTGTTAAAAATATGTAAATTCCGGCCAGGCACAGTGGCTCATGCCTGTAATCCTAGCACTTTTTGGGAGGCAGAGGCGGGTGGATCACCTGAGGTCAGAAGTTTGAGACCAGCCTGGCGAACGTGGCGAAACCCCGTCTCTACTAAAAATACAAAAATTAGCCTGGCATGGCCAGGCGGGGTGGCTCACGCCTGTAATCCCAGTACTTTGGGAGGCCAAGGTGGGCGGATCATCTGAGATCGGAGTTCGAGACCAGCCTGACCAACATGGAGAAACCCAGTCTCTACTAAAAATATAAAATTAGCCAGGCGTGGTGGCGCATGCCTGTAATCCCAGCTACTTGGGAGGCTGAGGCGGGAGAATTGCTTGAACCCAGGAGGCGGAGGTTTCGGTAAGCAGAGATCATGCCATTGCACTCCAGCCTGGGCAGCGAGAGCGAAACTCCATCTCAAAAAAAAAAAAGAAAATTAGCCAGGCGTGGTGGCGGGTGCCTGTAATCCCAGCTACTACTGGGCAGGAGAATCGTTTGAACCCGGAGGGGCGGAGATTGCAGTGAGCCGAGATCACGCCACTTCACTCCAGGCTGGGTGAAAGAGTGAAACTCCACCTCAAAAAAAAAAAACAAACAAGTAAATTCCAAGAAGACAGGGTCACATACTTAAATTAAGCAAGTGGAAATGAACGCTTTTGCCCATGCAAAAGGAATATATTTTTAGAAGTTCAGCAGCTGCAGCCTCCCTCCGCATAACCCTCACCCACCTCCCACCACAGTCTTCCTCCTTCATGCCCTAAAACATACAGATAATACAAATGACAAAGCCGCTGAGGTCCTGTAAAGAGATAGCTTAATACCAAACTCAACATAGATAATAGCAGGTCAAACAGGATTGTAAAGTTTCAAATATAGACTGAATATAGACTTACAACAAATGAGCAAGAAATCTTTTTTCAGGTGTGTGATCCCCTGGTCCTTCTGGTAATCTATATTTTCTGTTCTTCTTCTTCTTCTTTTTTTTCTTTTTGAGACGGAGTCTTGCTCTGTCACCAGGCTGGAGTGCCGTGGCGCAGTCTCGGCTCACTGCAATCTCCGCCTCCCAGGTTCAAGCGATTCCCCTGCCTCAGCCTCCTGAGTATCTGGGACTATAGGCATGCACCACCATGCCTGGCTAATTTTTTTTTAATATTTTAGTAGAGATGAGGTTTCACCATGTTGGCCAAGATGGTCACGATCTCCTGACCTCGTGACCTGCCCACCTCAGCCTCCCAAAGTGCTGGGATTACAGGCGTGAGCCACCTTGCCCAGCCTATTTTCTGTTCTTAAAAGTAATAAATGTTTCTGGGCTGGGCATGGTGGCTCACGCCTGTAATCCCAGCACTTTAGGAGGCAGAGACAGGCCGAGACAGGTGGATTGCCTGAGCTCAGGAGTTCAAGACCAGCCTGGACAACATGGTGAAACCCTGTCTCTACTAAAAATACAAACCCCGTCTCTACTGAAAATAAAAATTTTAAAAATTAGCTTGGCGTAGTGGTACAAGCCCATAGTCCCAGCTACTTGGGAGACTGAGGTGGGAAGATTGCTTGAGCCCGGAAGGCGGAGGTTGCAGTGAGCTGAGATTGTGCCACTGCACTCCAGCCTGGGCATCAGAGTGAGACCCTGTCTGAAAACAAAACAAAACAAAAATAAATGTTTTGGTAGAAAATTTGGAAAAGGGGCTGGGCTTGGTGGCTCACACCTGTAATCCCAGCACTTTGGGAGGCTGAGGCGGGTGGATTACCTGAGGTCAGGAGTTCAAGACCAGCCTGAACAACATGGTCAAACCCCATCTCAACTAAAAATACAAAAATTAGCCGGGTATGGTGGCGCATGCCTGTAATCCCAGCTACTCGGGAGGCTGAGATAGGAGAATCACTTGAACTCGGGAGGCGGAGGTTGCAGTGAGCCGAGATCGAGCCATTGCACTCTAGCCTGGGCAACAAGAGCAAAACTGCATCTCAAAAAAATAACCCAAGAAACAAAAATTAGCCAGGCGCAGTGGCACGTGCCTGTAATCCCAGCTACTCAGGAGGCTGAGGCAGGAGAATCACTTGAACCCGGGAGGCGGAGGTTGCAGTGAGTCAAGATCAAGCCACCGCATTCCAGCCTGGACAATAGAACGAGACTCTGTCTCAAAAAAAAAAAAAAAAGAAAAGAAAAAGAAAATGAAAAGAAAATTTGCGAAGTGTAAAAAATGTGAAGAAGAAAATTGAAATTAACCCTCAAGCCTACCAACCAATGGCCGCCTCCAGGTGGTGAGGTTGGGCCGGCCTGACATGCCCCCCTATTTGCTTGAAGCAATATTCCTTGAAGATCCTGGTTCGTCTGCGGCCGAAGGTGGGCGAGGCGGTGTCTTTGAGCAGGTGAAGTGTCACCACACTTCGCCTGGCTGTTGGATCACTCATGCAGCGCACATTTTCTGCCAGTGGGATTTTGAAGGAAACATCCGTGAGGGACCAATAGACTGGCCCCAGCCCACCGCATAGGGTGGCAGGCACTTGGTAAACCAGTCACAGTTGAGAGTCTGGTCCCCCGCCTTACTCTTCCGGACCATACCCTGGAGAGACAGAGCATAAGATTGATGTCAGGGCCTTACGTCCTCACTTCCTCTGGTTCGTGACTTCTTTTGCTCCCAAGAGAATTGCATAATTCAAATATTTCATGGCGTTGGGCTCAGACCACCCAGGGTGTCTGTCTCTGCTCTTGGACTGCCCCTGGCCTGGCTGCCAAGGCTGGCTGCGGTTCCCTCAGCCACCTCCCGTTGTCTGTCTGTTACTCACCAACTCGGCTTCCGTTTGATCCCTTGGGTTGATGAGTGAACGCTCTCTGACTCCCACTGTCGGGGCCTGTGGGCCTGGGAGCCACTCTGTGTCTTTAAGGTGACGTGTTTACCTTATCTATGGTCCTTTCTGATTTGGCACCTTAACTCTGGGATGCGGTGGTGGTTTTATGTCCAAGTTCTTGGGGCATGGACCGACTGTTTTGAATACTTCTTGCGGTACGCTAGGGGAAGTGGAGAATTGAGTGGTGCCTCAACACGCCGTGGTAACCCCAGCACTCCAGTTCATAAAGTGTTTGAAATCCATTAACAAGAAAAGCGGTGCTCACTGCGAACAGTGACTATGCTAGGCATGGTGTGGGCTATCGCTTCCCAGCACCGTTTGCCTTAACAGCCTGAGTCAGGAGACTGGGACTAGGTAAGTTTAAGTCACTTACCTAAGAAAACATAATAATGGTGATAAGAAGAAGTGGCAGGGCTGGGGTTTGAACCCAGTTCTGTCTGCTCTGAAGCCTCTCTTTATTAACCACTGCACTCCACTGCCTCGGCAGAGACTGGTACCCGGGAAGGTGTGCAGGAGCATGTTTATTATCCATTATTCCCATTTTACAGACGAGAAAACGGACCCTCTGCCCAGGTGTCTTTTCACTCCAGCTGTGCTCTGACTCTGTTCTCAAGGAGTGTCAGAACAGGAGACGGCTGAGACAGACAGGACCGTGGGCATGTGGGGCTCGCGTGGAGGGAGAACTTGACTGCACTGGTCAGGGTACCAGACGAATCATGTCATGTGGGAGCCTCAGTGTGACCAGTAACTGTGTAGAGAGGGCTTTTTCCTGGGCTGTGCAGATTTCTGTACAACTCCATAGCAGACGGCATACTCCACGGAGACTGTGGATCCATCCATTCATTCATTTACTAGCCCACCCATTCAATACAACGTCAGCCTCACTCCTGGCAAAGCCATCCGAAGGGCACAATGAACAGATGTTGAATAAAGATTCCTGAGCTCAGAGTCCCGTGCCTGGGGTCTACATGTAGGTGACAGAGGCCCAGAGAGAGCAGGACTTATGGGAGTGACCCCTCACTTTCTGGGACAGCCAGAACCTATATTATAAATGCAGGCTTGACTTCCCCCAGCATTGAAACTGCTGAGGATATCCCATTTCACTGTTGTTTTTACCTAAATGGGTCAGGGGTATGTGTGACAGCAGGGACGGGACCAAACACGTATGCTGTGGAAGGCCTGAAGTTCACTGCTCCTGTAGGTTGAATTTATTTTTTTTTCTTTTTTCTTTTTTTTTTTTTTTTGAGACAGAGTCACCCAGGTTTAAGTGCAATGGCGCAATCTCGGCTCAGGGCAACCTCCACCTCCCAGGTCCAAGCGATTCTCCTGCTTTAGCCTCCCAAGTAGCTGGGACTACAGGCACCTGCCACCACACCCAGCTAATTTTTTGTATTTTTAGTAGAGATGGGGTTTCACCATGTTGGCCAGGATGGTCATGAACTCCTGACCTCAGGTCATCCACCTGCCTCAGCCTCCCAAGGTGCTGGGATTACAGGCGGGAGCCACCGTGCCCAGCCTCCTATACCTTTTAAAGGCTTCCTTTTCTTTCTTTCTTTTTCTTTAGCCCCTGGGATTCAAGAAAAGGTTCAGTCCACCTTTGTGACAAAAGTACATTTATAGACAGCATCCAGTCAATTTTTCCCTTCTGTGCTTCCCAGCATTGCAAGAGACGGGGTATAAGCTTTATAGGAATTCTGCAAGGAGGCTGTTTCTGTCATTGGAACAAAGTCTGCATAGTGAAGAACGCCTGTGCCTGGAGCCAGTGCAGTCCTGTGTGGGTGTGCGTGTGCATGTGGGTGTGTGCACGCATGCCCATGTGTGGGTGTACCTGTGTGGGCCATGAGAACAGTGCTAAATGCCAGATTGCTCTGTCTGAAGAGGGCCAAGTCCCAGGCCCGTGTGTTCCTATTAATTCTGTGCCTAAGGCTCTTGATAACCCAACTGCTTGTTCTCTCTCCAAACTTTCTGGCACCAGCAGATAAGGGCATATTCCCCTGGATGTCTGCCCTTTTTAAAGCCAAATCATTCGTTCTGGGAAAAAAGTATGCATGAGAAAGATGCTTCACTGGGCCCCAAAGGGAAACGGGCTGTGCAGGGGAAAGAACCTTGACCCAGGAGTCAGATGCACATAGGGGCTTTTGAGACGGAGTCTTGCAACCTCCGCAACCTCCACCTCCCGGGTTCAAGTGATTTTCCTGCCTCAGCCTCCCGAGTAGCTGAGATTACAGGCATGCGCCACCACGCCTGGCTAATTTTGTATTTTTAGTAGAGATGGGGTTTCTCCCTGTTGGTCAGGCTGGTCTTGAACTCCCGATCTCAGGTGATCTGCCCGCCTCAGCCTCCCAAAGGGCTGGGATTACAGGTGTGAGCCGCCGCACCCAGCACTGAGTCACTTCTTACACACAGAAAAGCTTCCATCAGGAAAACAGAAAAGTAAACCACCAGCAAAATGTGTGAATGAATCTTGGTAGCATAGCAGGGCAGGCTGCTGTCTGCGCAGAAACCACTCTGGAAAACTTCTGTACTCTTAGTCTCTAGAGGCATTTCCAATCCGCCTCCCCAAATCCAGGTAAGAGCCTCGTTACTTCCTCCTGGACTGGGGCAGGAGCTCCTGATTGCGATGCAGGCGCGCTCTGCCTCCTTTCATTTCCGTCCTGCAGGGAATACAGCAGGATTTTCCAACACTCGACCCCAGCCCGATGCTTCCCTGCTTGAGGCCTTCTGGGCGCCTTGCTGCTTACACTTTTAAGCCCAGGCTCCTAAGCCTGAGCTCCAGAACGCCTCCCCATCTGTGCCGTCTTTGCAGGTCCTTCCCCATGCACCCAGCCAGCTTTCTCTTCTCTGCGTTTCTCTGCCTATCTGTCTTCTCCTACCTTTCGCTGTCCTGTCTAAATCCCCCTTCCTCCAGGAAGCCTTTCATGATCCTGAGGAGGGCTGTCAGATATAGCAGGTAAGAAATACAGACCATCAGCCGGGTGCGGTGGCTCACGCTTGTAATCCCAGCACTTTGGGAGGCTGAGGCGGGCAGATCACAAGGTCAGGAGTTTGAGACCAGCCTGACCAACATGGTGAAATCCCATCTCTACTAAAAATACAAAAAATGAGCCTGGCATGGTGGCGCACGCCTGTAATCCCAGCTACTCAGGAGGCTGAGGCAGGAGAATCACCTGGACCCGGGAGGCGGAGGTTGCAGTGAGCTGAGATCACGCCATTGTACTCGAGCCTGGGCAACAGAGTGAGACTCCATCTCAAAAAAAAAAAAAAAAATAGAGAATGAGAACTGAAGCTGGTGTATGTCTGGCCAGTCTTAAAACTTTACAATCCATCCGAAGTCGAGCACCATCTCACCTCCCCAAGACTGTGGAGATGTCACTTCTCCCCAAAGGTAAGAGTAAAGAGTTGGACAAATGGTTTCTGAGGCCCCATCCAGCTTCCACAGTCTAAAATTTAAACCTAGAAAGTGACCCTATTTCCTCAGTAACTTAGACACATCCTAAACTCTTCCAGAATTAAAGAAACATTACTACATGCTATATAGACAAAGGCTATAGGATGCTTCTAGATTTCAGAAGCAAGGAAAAATGTGCTTTTAGACATGAGGCAAATTAAAATGCCGTATGCAGTGGTTTGAGGAGGTGATAGAATCATGTTTCTGAAGATGATTTTAAGGGCAAGTGGAAATGCTCATTGTATGTTAAAGGAGAAAAGCCATTTGCTTTTATTATATTATACATAATACATACATGTTTCAGAGGCATATTTAATCTTTGTAGAGGCCTTCTTCTAAGGATAGAATTTTGGTAGATCTTTGTTTTTTGAAAAATGTTCTATAATGAACACATTTGCTCTTGAAACAGGGAAAAGACTATATAATTTTATTTATTTTTAGGCTGGGGGGTTGAGGAGAGACCTCAGTTACAAAGATTTGGGTTAATTGTACTCCTTAGGCACACTATCATTAGCGGTTTATAAAGTAACTTTAAAAATACTGACTATTCCCACTAGAGGGCGCTCTTCCTAAATTTTAGATTGCCCATAACGCTGAAGATTTAAGCTTTGTAAAGGAAGTTTCAAGGTTTCATTTCAGCACAGCTGGGAGACTCGAGCCTATTTATTTGCTTGTTTGTTTGCTTGGCTTTAAATAAACTTTTTCGCTAAGTTAACTTTTTCAACCCTCCTTTATATCATCGGCATTTCTGTCTTTTCCAGAGTGTGTGGAACCATCAGTTTAGTAATTTGTATCCCTTCCAATTAATCTTTTTTTTTTTTTCAGTTTATGTTCCCTCAGCAGGATAGTGTTAGATGAAGAATGCTAAGGAATTATCACTAATTTTGTTAGGTATAATAATGGCATTGTGCTTAGGTTTTTTTTTTAAGTCCTTATCTATGAGATACATTTTGAAATATTTGTGGATGAAATGATTTACGCCTGGCTGGGAGCAGTGGCTCATGCCTGTAATCCTAGCACTTTGGGAGGCTGAGGCAAGCTGATCACTTGAGGCCAGGAGTTCGAGACCAGCCTGGCCAACATGGTGAAACCCCATCTCTACTAAAAATACAAAATTAGCTGGGCATGGTCCTGGGCGCCTGTAATCCCAGCTACTCAGGAGACTGAGGCAGGAGAATTGCTTGAACCTGGGAGGCAGAGATTGCAGTGAGCCGAGATCGTACCATTACACTCCAGCCTGTGACAAGAGTGAAACTCCATCATACACAGATAGATAGATATAGATAGATAGATAGATAGATAGATAGATAGATAGATAGATAGATAGAAAATTAGGCCAGGTGCTGTGGCTCATGCCTGTAATCCCAGCATTTTGGGTGGCCAGGGTGGGAGGATTGCTTGAGCTCAGGAGTTCAAGACCAGCCTGGGCACCATAGACCTCATCTCCACTAAAAAAATAAAATAAATGTCAGCCAGGCATGGTGGTACACACCTGTAGTCCCAGCTACTCAGGAGTCTGAGGCAGGAAGATCAGTTGAGCCCAGGAGATGGAGGCAGCAGTGGGCTATGACCATGCCACTGCACTACAGCCTGGGCGACAGAGCAAGCCCCTCTCTCAAAAAAATTAATTAATTGATTTTTTTTAATGAAAAATGTTAAGGAGTTGAACATGCTTTTGTTTTAATGTGATAATAACCCTAAATCCTGTGGACTGCTCGGACTGCCTGCTATTTAATTTAATAGACATTCCCAGATCAATGTAACAGATATTCATAGATTCTTAGCTCATGTCAGAAACATATGTTTCCCAGGCGCTGCAGGAGGTGCTGGAGTAACAAGGGCAGACGTGATGCCTGCCCTGCAAGAACTTGAGTCAGACATATTTGAGGTTTGGAGTGGAACCAACCATGCAGTAAACACTGACTACAAATGAATCTTGGCTGGTAGCAAATACCCCATATTTGCAAGGCAGGAATTTTATTGGCATCTCAGTTTTATGGGTTTGAGTTGAATCATCTCAGCCATGTGGTTAATAAATGGGAGATTTATTATTATTACTGCTACTCCTCCTAATAATAATAATAATTTCTACTAATAGTAATTTTTAAATCTTGATAGATTGTAATTTTTCCCAGGACGTGCAGCCCTTCATAATTATCATAACTATCTCATTGATCATTTAACTAAATTGTAACTGCTAGTAGCTGCTGCCTTCCTGCTTGCTGAAGTCACCTGTTCCTTTGCCCCCAACCATCTAAGGGCCTGTCTCCTGGCTCACTGAGCAGACAGGAGCTGGTCCTGAGCTCTGCTCTGCTGTGGGATGGTGGCAAAATCTGTCCAACACTTTTTCTGTCTCTCTTTTTATTCTGCAGCAGAAGTATTGGGAGGCCCTAAACTCGGAGCAGGTATGGACGATCATGCTCTTTCTCTTCCAGGAGGGACTTCCTATGGCTTGATTTCAGTTCCTGTTTTTGTTAGACCTTGTTAGATGGCTAGACCCATGACAAATTCCTTCAGTAAAAAAAGAATGTCAGGCCAGGCGCGGTGGCTCACACCTGTAATCCTAGCACTTTGGGAGGCCGAGGTGGGCGATCACCTGAGGTCAGGAGTTCAAGACCAGCCTGGCCAACATGGTGAAACCCTGTCTCTACTAAAGATACAAAATTAGCCGGGCATGGTGTCACATGCCTGTAATCCCAGCTACTCAGGGGCTGAGGCAAGTGAATCGCTTGAACCTGGGAGATGAAGGTTGCAGTGAGCCGAGATTGCACCATTGCACTCCAGCCTGGGCAACAAGAGTGAAACTCCATCTCAAAAAAAAAAAAGTCAAAATGAGAGGCAAGACTGAGGATGAATGGGATTTTCAGGGCTCTCTCAGGTCAGAGTTCTTTCTGCTTTGGGGGTATTCAGGTAAGCCCAAGTAATAGGGACTCCAAGAAGACGTGTAACCCAGTGAAGAAACATGGTTTGGAACAACAGTAGTAGTGGCCGGCATGGCTGCAGTAGCTGTTGCAATAAACAGTTCCAGACATTGTCATTCTGGGACCCTGGGCAGCTGGCTGCTGTCTCCATGCCACCCTTGCCTCCAAGTGACAGGCATGTTTTGTGACAACTACCTGTGCCTGTCATCTCCCAGGATTGTTTCTGATATGAAAATGGATCTTTTGCTCAGATTCTCTTCATGCCTGGTTTCCAGCAATGATTTTTTTTTTTTTTTTTTTGAGACGGAGTCTCGCTCTGTCGCCCAGGCCGGACTGCGGACTGCAGTGGTGCGATCTCGGCTCACTGCAAGCTCCGCCTCCTGGGTTCATGCCATTCTCCTGCCTCAGCCTCCCGAGTAGCTGGGACTACAGGCGCCCGCCACCGCGCCCGGCTAATTTTTTGTATTTTTAGTAGAGACGGGGTTTCACCTTGTTAGCCAGGATGGTCTCGATCTCCTGACCTCATGATCCACCCGCCTCGGCCTCCCAAAGTGCTGGGATTACAGGCGTGAGCCACCACGCCTGGCCCAATGATTTTATTATAAAATGAAGTTTTTAGGCCGGGCACGTTGGCTCACACCTGTAATCCCAACACTTTGGAAGGCTGAGGGGGGCGGATCACCTGAGGTCAGGAGTTGGAGACCAGTCTGGCCAACGTGGCGAGATCCCCATCTCTACTAAAAATACAAAAATTAGCCAGGTGTGGTGGTGTGTACCTGTGGTCCCAGCTACTCAGGATACTAAGGCAGGAGAATCACTTGAACCCAGGAGGCAGAGGTTGCAGTGAGCCCAGATCATGCCTCCAGCCTGGGTGATGGAGTGAGACTCTGTCTCAAAATAAATAAATAAATAAATAATGAAGTTTTAAAACACATTATTCTGGAGAGTCAGAAAAAATAGATTCTAAATGTTTTCTAAGATTTGTACCACTTTATTTTTACTTACTTATTTATGTATTTATTTATTTTTTGAGACAGAATTTCACTCTTGTCGCCCACGCTGGAGTACAGTGGCGTGATCTCGGCTCACTGCAACCTCCGCCTCCGGGGTTCAAACGATTCTCCTGCTTCAGCCTCCCAAGTGGCTGGGATTATAGGCGCCTGTCACCATGCCTGGCTAATTTTTTGTATTTTTAATAGAGATGGGGTTTCACCATGTTGGCCAGGCTGGTCTCGAACTCCTGACCTCAGGTGATCCACCCGCCTCAGCCTCCCAGAGTGTTGGGATTACAGGCGTGAGCCACCACACCCAGCCTATTTATTTATTTCTTGAGATGGAGTTTCGCTCTTGTTGCCTAGGCTGGAGTACAATCACACAGTCTCAGCTCACTGCAACCTCTGCCTCCCAGGTTCAAGCGATTCTCTTGTGTCAGCCTCCCAAGTAGCTGGGATTACGGGCGCCCACCACTATACTTGGCTAATTTTTGTATTTTTGGTAGAGACGGGGTTTCACCATGTTGGCCAGGCTGGTCTTGAACTCCTGACCTTAGGTGATCTGCCCGCCTCAGTCTCCCAAAGTGCTGAGATTACAGGCGTGAGTCCCCGTGCCCGGCCTGTACTAGTTTAAAGAGCTCACCTGATCAAAGTGACAGGTTTCTGTCTGCAGGCTGCTGAACTGGTCACGGTTGGCAAGAATCATTCTTCAGCAGCCATTTAAGAAGCTCGAGCAGTGGTTCTCAATCATCAGGGCATCTAAGAATCACCCTAGGAGCTTGTAAAAATGCCAAACCTTAGGTCTCTACCCCCTACCCAGGGGCTAGGGTGGGCCCCAGCATCAGTGTTTTTAGCCAGCAGCCTGGGTGCTTCTGGTGTGGCTGGTCAAGCACACGCTGTGAGAACAATGATCTAGGTCTCAGGCCTCAGCTTAGAAACCGTTTTCATCAAAGAGCACACTGACCATCCTCAGAGAACAGAACAGGGCCCTACTTTTTTCACTGGGCAGGTGGGTCACGTAGGCTGAGGGGCCTGGTGAGCTCTTTTATTTGGGGTCTGATAAGGTCAGAAAGGAATTTGGTTCAAGGGGTCCAGCCAGGTCTGCGACCGCAAGTTAATGCGATGTTCTCACTGGAAGTGGCTGGCACAGCCCCAAACAGGTGCAGGGGACGAGCTGCCCAAACCCAGTCACTGCAGGGTCACTGGGAATCAGGTGGTCTTTTTAACATGATGGCTTTTAAAATCGCCAAGTATTAGTACTCGATTCAGTTATTATCAGTAAATCACTAACAAACTGGGCTCTTTATTTCTGTCCAAAACAAGGCCACAATTTGTGTTTTATCACTGGGATGGCATGGCCATTGTGTCAATGGCTCAGGGAGACTTCAAGATCTTCGCTGGAACCTCTAAGGATTGGAATGTTCGATTCAGCTTCAGTGTGAGCAGCTGTCAGGGCATCTTTCTTGGAGAGCATGTCCATGCCTGGGTCTATTATCTTGTCCAAATAGATCGTCTGCCCAGGCAGACACAGCCTTTGTCATCTTTGCTTCTTGTTTCCTGGGTTTCCTAGTACTGTCAAATGTGACCTTGTGCCTCAGAATCATCATAGACGCTTGGAAATGGGAGAGATCTTCTTATCTCGTTGCTGATCCAATACCACAGCATACACATGGGGAAACTGAGGCCCCAAAAACGAAGGCAAATTAGTGACAGGAGGAGAACTGGAGCCCAATCCCTACTTGCCTCCATGGCTGGAACCTCAAAGGTAACACCAAGGATCCCCTTGGGCTCTAATCCATCATCTTAGAACAGCAGGAGGGCTTCACAGACAGCTTTGTCAATGCTTCTGTGCCCACTTGTATTAACCCGTCACTCACCCCTGCAAATTTCAACTTCCCAAACCCACCTGAGTCGGTGATGAACTATTCACTGGCAGTGCCCCCCCGCTCTGAATTGGGTTTTAAGTGATGACAAGTCGGCTGAGCCTCAGGTTTAGAGGAAACACCGTGTAGGAGCAGGAGCGAACGTTTGCTCTGTTCCCGTGGAGCCCATCATCTACCTGAGACAACAAGGCAGATGTCCGCATAAACGCCAGGGCTGTCCGTGCTCAGGGGCAAATCAGTGGAATAGGTAATACAAAGAGAAAGGCAGGTGAGAGCTCAATGGGCTAACACGGTCAAGGTAGGCTTCCTGGGGGAAGAGGTATTTACCTGGCCCATAAAGAATAGGTTGAAGCTGGGCATGGTGGCTCAAGCCTGTAAGCTGAGCACTTTGGGAGGCTGAGGCGGGAGGACTGCTTAGGTCCAGGAGTTCGAGATCAGCCTGGGCAACATTGCAAGACTTTATCTCTACTAAAAATTAAAAACTTAGCCAGGCATTGTGGTACACACCTGTAGTCCCAGCTACTCGGGAGGCTGAAGCAGGAGGATTGCTTGAGTCTAGGAGTTTGAGGCAGCAGTGAGCTATGATTGCACCACTGTACTCTAGCCTGGGTGACACCGCAAGACCCTGTCTTAAAAAAATAAAAAAGGATTAAGTTTGCCTGGTTTTTTCCAGGAATGAGTTAGGCATGGAGTCAGGATAAGGAGAACATGACTCAGTGTCACTAGATAAGGACTTGGTAGAGGCAGAGAAGAGTGGAGAATGAGGGCGGGAAGGAAAGTGAAGCTGTTATGTTTAGGGTGGTTGTTCATTAGTTGCTTGATGTAAAGTTATGCTTGCCTCCTTAGGTCCCAGAAACACAGGCCTGGGTAACTTGTCCTTACCCTTTTGTCCTTGTCTGTGCCTGGATCATGAGAACCAAGATTGGAGCTTTTGTTTGGGTCAGGGGTTATGACAGATGAGAAGCATCTATCCGTTCCACCCAGCTACCCTTTGCATCTTTTCTCCATAGTGGGACCCTGAAGATGTGAACCTCGAAGGCAGCAAAGAAAATGTGGAGCTACTGGGATCCCAGGTGCACCAGGACTCTGTGAGGACAGCACACCTGAGTGATGATGATTAACACCTTCTGGAGCCAGCTCATCAGCTCAGAGCCCAGGGTCAGGAGTTCGTTCAGTAACGCAGCGGGAATCAATCTGCACTGACACCGCGGCAGGAACTGAAGCTGCCCTGGCAAGTGAGGAACCAGGAGCCGTCACTGAGTGTGGCTGGGCTACATCATAGCTCATCACGGAGCTACGACTTTGGGTACTGCGGACAGACCTGGATAGGCCCAGCATTCGTTCTGAAGATCACAGTTCACAGAAGCTTTTGCTTCGTAAAGATAATCCAAAGGATCTCAGACCCGCTCTTCCTTTTCCCTTCATTCCCTTGAGAGTCAGCCATGAACGGAATACCTGCTAGGTTCCAGGAATGAGCTCACCTAACAGATAGCAAATGTGTCTGGTTAGATCTCAGCAGAGCCCATTCTGCAAGACCTGGCTGAGCCAGATGAGAGGGTGGGCCCTGTGCTGGGGGGCCTTGGGTCACACACAGGAACCGAGACCTGGCTTCCACCCCCCAGTCACCCACTTGGGTTATCTGCTGGAAGTTATCGATAGGACTGTGTGGCCAACCAAGTGCTTGTGAGATCACTGACACTGCAAAAACAAAGCAAACTGCTCCGGGTACCAGGACTTCCTCCAACCTGGCAAGGGTGTGCGCTGAGGCGGGGCTTGCAGGTGAGGGGGCTGTATGCTTCAGGAACTAACTAAATGCATGCAGAAGGTAAGAGGCATGATGGGAGGTGTTCAAGCACAGCAATCCCATTTGGGAGTTATTTTGATACTGCGATGAGTAAGGGTAAGGGCGCATGGAATGGGGCTAAGGTGGGAGTGAACACTGGGGTGAATAAATTTTAAATCAATTCAAGTATCTCACTGTGGAGTGCAATGGCGAGCATGAATCCCTGCACAGTCACAGAATGACGTCGGCCACGAGAGGAAGTGGAGAAATGCCAAGCAACACAGTTTTGCTCCGGGCTGGCCCACAGCCGCCTGCGTGACGCAGCTACAGCAGCCCAGTTTCTCCTGAGGGGTAGGGCAAGTTCCAGCAGCATGAAGGGGGTCCCTTGGGGAAGCAGCGTGGCTCTGCAGGTCTCTGCATAGATCCTAATCCCCTGGGTGACCTCTGAACTACAAGTGATCTTAAAGCCACTTTATTTATCCCCTTTAATCTGAACTGTGTTGGTCCCTGGTTGTCTTGGAAAGTTTGCTGAAGTCAGCTTTGCTTTGTGATGTTAACCACTGAAGCTGTACTTCCAGGGAAGAGGAAGATTTGAATGGAGACCCAGGATGCAGGGAGAAAAGAGTGTTCAAATAGATGAAATAGTACAGAGGACTGGATGCAGGGAAAGGTGGGAGCTAGCAAGGAAGAATCTGAGATGGCCAGAATGGATGATGTAGTATGGGCTGTAGGGGTGGCAAAAAGGCTGAAAAGGAACCAGACTGGAGGCTGGTGAGTCAGTGCTTGGTTCTGTGGCCAGCTGGTAGCCATGGAAGATACCAGAGTAGGAAGGTGACTGACTTGCCTCAGGAAGACCACAACTGATTGGTGAGTTTTTCATTCCTATGGCTACAACTTTCCAGGAAGCAGAAATATAGTCATGGGTACAGAATGAACGTGGGGAACAGGTTTAATCTAGAGTACTGAGTGGTAACAGCAGGGCAGAAGAGCTTCTCTTTAGAAAGGCGGAAGGCATGGGGATAGGATGACCTCTGGAGTTTGCCTTTAGCACATCCTCTGTCTTGAGGGAACTCTGGATCATGCTCCCTAGGGCACCAAAAATTGGTGGGATCCAGGTGAAAGTGGCCATTCACCCAAGAACATCAAATGATCTTGGCCAGGTGCAGTGGCTCACACCTGTAATCCCAGCACTTGTGGTAAGCTGCGGCAGGCAGATCACTTGAGGACAGGACTTCAAGACCAGCCTGGCCAACATGGTGAAACTCCATCTCTACTAAAAGTACAAAAAATTAGCCAAGTGTGGCGGCCCGCACCTGTAGTCCCAGCTACTCAGGAGGCTGAGGCACAAGAATTGCTTGAACCCACGGGGTGGAGGTTGCAGCGAGCTGAGATCGCACTGCTGCACTCCAGGCTGGGCAACATAACAAGACTGTCTCAAAAAACAACAAAAACCTTGCTGACTTTGAGTAACACGAACTACCTAAGGTCCAGATATCATCTATCTCCCTAGATCCTGTTAGCCCAGCCTCCTCCCTTCACAAACTGGTTCCTATCATCACGGTCCCAGCTTGTCTAAGGGTGTCTCCGGCCTCTTCATCCACAGTGAACTACCAAACTGGGAATTTTGGAAGCGAGGTTTGGCTTCATTGTTCAACGAGAATCTTCCTGTATGCAAAGCTCTAGAACACTGGAGCCTTTGTAAGGAGGTGCCAATTAAAATGCCTGTCTCCTAGTAGGAGTGGGCCTCTGTTGCAGCTTTGTTTCTAGCCGTTAGACCAAGAGGGCAGTGGGAGCAACTTGCTCTGATGACCCAGTGAGCAGTGCAGGCACTTTACCTACACTGGGGAGGGGCTGGGGAACAAACTATGTAATCATTGGCTCACTCATCTGGAGACCTGTAGTATCATCTGGTTGTGCCGCCTATCATCTGTGTGGCTTGGAGCATGTCACCTAACCTTTGTGAACTTCTTAGGTAGACTAAGAATAATACCAACCTAGAAAGCCTATGGTGAAGACTAAGTGAACTAACATGTATGAAAATGCAAACATAATACCTATTCAAAGAAGACTTTGGAGAGGGATTAGTTTTCTTTCCCCCCATGCTTCCTGCACACATGTACTGAAAGAGTAACCAAATAATTAGACCTGCAGATGGAAGAGATTTCAGAGGTTTGAATGCCCTTAAACACAACCCCAATTAGTGATTATCCAGTCTCTACTTAAGTTCTCTGAAAAAAAGGATATCAGTTGCCAAGTCTTTATCATTTAGCGAGAGCTCTGCTAAGATGATGATGATGATGATTTTTTTTTTTTTTTTGAGATGGAGTTTCACTCGTTGCCCTGGAGTGCAATGGCACGATCTCACTTCACTGCAACCTCCGCCTCCCAGGTTCAAGCGATTCTCCTGCCTCAGCCTCCCGAGTAGCTGGGATTACAGGCTCCCGCCACCATGCCTGGCTAATTTTTGTATTTTTAGTAGAGACGCTGTTGGCCAGCCTGATCTGGAACTCCTGACCTCAGGTGATCCACCTGCCTCAGCCTCCCAAAGCGCTGGGATTACACGAATGAGCCACCGCACCCAGCTAAAGATTTTCTTGAAAGCCTGTCTAGATCCTGAAGAACTAATCCCCTTATCTCCCTCCCTCAGTATGATGAAGAGATTTATGAGCATCATTTGAAGACACATTCATATTATGTTTCTTTCAAAGGGGTATGAGCTCCTAGAATAAGAAGAGGCACTGGGCCAAGGAGCATGGCTGGGCTCCAGTTCCCAGGTCTGATTCAGTGTGATCTTTGTCATTTCCTTTTCTATGTCACAGTTTCCTCATCTGTAAACTGAAAGTTGGGCCTGATTTTTTTCATTTTTTCTCTTTTATGCATGTGCCAATTTGTTTCCCACAGAATACTGACATCTTTATAAGCTCTCAAGAAAGACATTATAAAAACAAATTTCAGATATACTTTGAACATAGGCTTCATTATACGACATATACCTCTTTCTGTTTGGATTTTACTGTCCACTTAATATAAAAACCTGTATTAATCACTAAGGAAAAGGATAGAGGAGACTTAGAAATATCTCCAGAATAATTTTGCAACAATTCCAAGATTCTCTGCACTTCTTTTTCTGTCCCTTAATTGGCCTCCTCCACATTTTCCAACTATGGAGGTATTGCTCTACTCTCTTCGACTTTACATTGTTTTAGAATGCTTTTGCAAGGAGACTCTGCCTTGAATGAACCCAAGATATGGTGCAATGTTGAGGAAGATCTCCAAGTTTACACATGCCTGTACGATGGCCCAAAGGTCATCATCAGGTGAAAGGGACGACCTTAGAGATGAAAGAAGTTCAAGGAATGGTGCTACATTAAATGACTTAGCATTAGAAAGCATCTACTTTGCTTTTTCTTTCACCAACCCTGAAAGCCAAATAAGGCACTGGGCATTCAGGCCTTCTTTTGAGCAGAACACGTGATTACGCAGTTATTCTTCAAGAGCCTCTGTTAATCTGTCGCTTGGAGAACTCTGCATACTGTCCCAAATCCGTCTGAATTTTCCATCGGCTGCCAGTGTTCGTAGCAGAGGCCTCGGGTCTTCTCGTCCTCTCCTCAGGGTCTGGCAGCTGTCACTACCGTGGACTTCGGTCCAGTCCCCAGAGTCGGGGGCGCTGCCTTTCCCATTTCAGTTGCCAGGGGGTTCATCCACGATCGTGCCAGAGGGGCAGCGCGTGGTCTCCTCGAACTACGGGGGAGAGAGGAACCACTGTTGGCACGGGCCGGACTGAACGCCGGCTCCCACTGCCTACCTCCTCGGAGCTGCATCCGCCGACATCTTGCGCCCTACTCCCAGCACCAGCAGGGCACTTCCGGGAAGAACGGAATTGCGGTTCCGCGCGTGCGCACTCCGCAGCCACCGCCTCCCGCGAGGAGCGAGAGTCCCGCGGCCCCGCCCCGCCGCCGCAGCCGCCGCCGCAGCCGAAGGCCGGCGTTTCTGACCTCAGCCAGCGGCGACGCAGCCGGGAAAGAACTGTCGAGGGCGTCTCCGTAGTTCAGTTTTGGTTTGTTTATTTGAGACGGAGTCTCTGTCGCCCAGGCTGGAATGCAGTGGCGCGGTCTCTGCTGACTGCAGCCTCCGCCTGCCGAATTCAAGCGATTCTTCTGCGACTGAATAGCTGGGACTACAGGGGCGCGCCACGACGCCCGGCTAATTTTTGTATTTTTAGTGGAGACGGAGTTTCACCATGTTGGTCAGGCTGGTCTCGAACTCCTGACCTCGTGATCCGCCCGCCTCGGCCTCCCAAAGTGCTGGGATTACAGGCGTGAGCCACCACGCCTGGCCCACCCCACTCGGTTTTTAAGGAGATAATTACAAGGTTATTTTACGGTTCATAGTGTGTTTCAGACCTCCCAGAAGCCTAACGGTGTATTATAAACCATTCTTTTCTTTGTTTTTAAATGCATTAAAAACCTTTTTTGAGATAAAAATAGTGCAAGTACATGGTTTAAAAAAAGAAAATCAGATTGCACCAAAAGGTTTATGATGAAAAACAATAATGTTCTGTCCCTTTGCCTCCAAGAGACTCCTTTTTAAAATCTTTTGGGCTGGGCGCGGTGGCTCACGCCTGTAATCCCAACACTTTGGGAGGGTGAGGCGGGCGGATCATCTGAGGTCAGGAGTTTGAGATCAGTCTGGCCAACATGGTGAAACCCCGTCCCTACCAAAAATACAAAAAGTAGCCGGGCGTGGTGGTGGGCGCCTGTAGTCTCAGCTACTTGGGAGGCTGAGGCAGGAGAATCGTTTGAACCGGCGAGGCAGAGGCTGCAGTGAGCTGAGACCGCGCCACTGCACTCCAGCCTAGGCAACAGGAGCAAAATTCTGTCTCAAAAAAAAAAAAAACTTTTATACCTTCTAGTAGTTGTCTCCATTAGGTTTGATTTGGAACATGCTTTCCAGCTACAGGGTTCTTAAGATCATACTTGCTTTTCCTGAGCTGCATCATCTTCAGCTTCCATTATACAGGCTGACGAGGCTCAGTAGCACGGCAGGGCCACTGGCGTATTGAGAAATGGATGGTCACCGTCTTCGCATCCGAGGGTTGTGTGGCGTGCCTCGCGCCAGGAACTCCTTGGCCACTCCGCAGTTTCCTAGCTAGAACCCGGCTTCTGAGCCCAGCACGCTCCAACAGCAGCCTGCCGCGGTCCACGCCTCTGCTCCGGACTTGACCTTTCCCTTCCGGCCTTCCTCCTACAGGTGTCTTGGCACCTGGAATCTCCAGAGGAAATCTGAGGGATTCTCTAAACCCACAGCTGGAACAAGGGACGTCATACACGGCGGCCACCACCATCTTTCCCAAGGACAGCATGGCCATGGATGAAAAGGGCCATTTCATGGGCCTTACCTTCTGCTAGCCAGTATAGCCTAAAGCCCTGATACTCAAATGTAGACTCTTAGGCTCCACCCGGAGGATTCCCTAGGTCTGGGCAGGGCTTGGGAAGCTTAGCAGGCTCCTCAGGTGATTCTGCTACAGATGGTCCAGGACCAGTCTCTGAAAAACACTGTCCTCGGGAAATTGCTTTTATGTATTTACTTTTTCCATCTCTTCTTGGTATTTTGTTATCATTTTCAAATACAGAGACGGAGTCTCACTATGATGCCCAGGCTGGTTCCGAACTCCTGGGCTCCAGAGATCCTCCTGCCTTGGTCCCCCAAAGTACTGGGATTACAGGCACAAGCCACCACTCCAGCCGGGAAATTACTTTTAAAACAGATCTATTTGTATGAGATGTTCTCACAAAACTACTTAGAATAGCAAACAAACAAAAAAAAAGTGATAAAGCTCCCAAACCCCACTGTTGTGCAGAATTAAACATACTTTTTTTTTTTTTTTTTTGAGATGGAGTCTGTCTCTGTTGCCCAAGCTGGAATGCAGTGGTGCCATCTCAGCTCATTGCAACCTCTGCCTCCTGGGTTCAGGCGATTCTCCTGCCTCAGCTTCCCGAGTAGCTGGGACTACAGGCGCGTGCCACCATGACTGGCTACATTTTGTATTTTTAGTGGAGACGGGGTTCGCCATGTTGGCCAGGCTGGTCTTGAACTTCTGACCCCAAGTGATCCACCTTCCTCGGCCTCCCAAAGCGCTGGGACTACAGGCATGATCCACCACACCTGGCCCAAACATTATGCTTTAATGAAGAAATGACATTTTGCCATTAAACCTAAAATATCACAGAACCATGGATTGAAGAACAGACATGAATTACCTTGAAATCATCTACTGCAGTGCCTGAGTGGCTTTGCCTGTTCTCACAGCATGAATTCTCAGTTCACACACAGTAAAAAAAAAAAAAAAAAAATTATGAAAGATAATGTCAGCTAATAGGCCGGGTGCAGTGGCTCACCCCTGTAATCCCAGTACTTTGGGAGGCCAAGTGGGGGCAGATTACCTGAGGTCAGGAGTTCAAGACCAGCCTGGCCAACATGGTGAATACCCCGTCTCTACTAAAAATACAAAAATTAGACACACGCCTGTAATCCCAGCTACTCGGGAGGCTAAGGCAGGAGAATTGCTTGAATCCAGAAGGCGGAGGTTGCAGTGATCACTGCACTCCAGCCTGGGCAACAGAGCAAAACTCTGTCTCAAAAAAAAAACAAAACCATAATGTAAACTAGTAAAGGTAGAACACAAGAGAGCTTGAGCCACCATTCACAATTATAAGAAAAATTTTGATAGATCAGAAAAGTCTTAGAAGTCATTAGATTCTGTTGTAAAAAGATTATGTGGATTTTTGTAGTAGATGTTTCTTGACTGTGGAAATACTTAAATACATCTTAAGAGAACTGTTCTAGTTTAAAGGAGTCTGCAGTGGGGATGGGGTGGGAGAGCTATATGGGATTACTGGGACAATTGAGCAAATTTGAATATGTACAGTGTATTAGCTAACTTTATTGTTTCCTTTCTTAATAATATTATGGTTGCACAGGAGAACGCCCCTTTGGATATACATGCTGAACTACTTAGGAGTGAAGCACCGTGATTTGGCAACTGACTTTTATTTTTTATTTTTTATTTTTATTTTTTGAGACAGAGTCTCGCTCTCTCGCCCAGGCTGGAGTGCAGTGGCATGATCTCGGCTTACTGCAAGCTCCGCCTCCCGGGTTCACACCATTCTCCTGCCTCAGCCTCCTGAGTAGCTGGGACTACAGGCGCCTGCCACCATGCCTGGCTAATTTTTTTTTGTATTTTTAGTAGAGACGGGGTTTCACCATGGTCTCGATCTCCTGACCTCGTGATCCTCCCGCCTTGGCCTCCCAAAGTGCTGGGATTACAGGTGTGAGCCACCGCACCTGGCCCCAAGCAACTGACTTTTAAATATTTCAGCAGAAAAAAATTATAAATTTTTCAGGTAGTTGGAGAGAGACAAAGCAAACGGAAAAACGGGAACAATGGATTAATCTAGGCGAATAGCATAAACATGTTCGTTATTCTTTCATCTTTTCTGTAGGTTGGAAGTTTTTCAAAGCCAGCTGGGTGAGAAAGAACAGGAGTAAAGAAAGATTCTCGCCAGGCGTGGCTCACGCCTGTAATCCCAGCACTTTGGGAGGCCGAGGCAGGTGGATCACCTGAGGTCAGGAGTTCGAGACCAGCCTCACCAACATGGAGAAACCCTGTTTCTACTAAAAATACAAAATTAGCCGGGTGTGGTGGCACCTGCCTGTAATCCCAGCTACTCAGGAGGCTGAGGCAGGAGAATTGCTTGGAGCCAGGAGGCGGAGGTTGCGGTGAGCTGAGATGGCGCCATTGCACTCCAGCCTGGGCAACAAGAGCGAAACTCCATCTCAAAAACAAAAAAAGGCCGGGCACAGTGGCTCACGCCTATAATCCCTGCACTTTGGGAGGCTGAGGCGGGTGGATCACCTGAGGTCAGCAGTTCGAGACCAACCTGGCCAACGTGGTGAAACCCTGTCTACTAAAAATACAAAAATTAGCCAGGCGTGGTGGTGGGCACCTGTAATCCCAGCTACTCGGGAGGCTGAGGTAGGAGAATTTCTTGAACCCAGGAGTCAGAAGCTGCAGTGAGCTGAGATTGCACCACTGCACCCCAGCCTGGGCAACAGAGCGAGACTCCATCTCAAAAAAAAAAAAAAAAAAAAAAAGAAAGAGTCTCACAGTTGGCCCATCATGAGATGGGGTCTCCACGCATCTCCACCACTGTTGCCAGCAGAGGACCCTGAAATTCTAGGGCTTTGCAAGGAAAGAGCTGGTTATTAGAGACTGCTTTTCAAGCAGCTTCCCAAATGTGGCTGGATTCTGGGCCGACTAATTGTCGTGTGATGTCAGGCCACAAAGGGTGGATAAATTCCAGTTTGTCTGGTACTGAGAAAAAAATAGGCCCCATATCTTAGACAGCCCTGATAAGGTGCCTCCATGGATATGAGTAATGGTCAGACCCAGGGGATGACCCAGGACTAAGAAAGCTGGACAATGGAAAGTCTGGAGCACTGTGACAGGGAAATTCTTCCCCTGAATTGCCTTTTCCTATTGAGATAAGATAGTACACAATAAAGCGCCAGGCTCAGAAGTGCTGCTGCCAATCCCAGCCAGGGCAGCCAGCACTCGGCCCGAGCTGACGCACATCAGTGCCCGGGGCTGTCAGCACCTGTGTGGTCTCCAGAACGCCAGCTCTGATGGGGACCAGTCCTAACTCCCACCATTCACCAACTGTGGGACTCCTATTCTTGTTCATTAAAAAAAAAAGAAAAGAAAGAAAGAAAAAAAGTGTACTCCTCTTCTACCTGCTTTACTCTATGGTGCCTCCAAAAACTAGAAACCATGCCGGGCGTGGAGGCTCACGCCTGTGATCCCAGCACTTTGAGAGGGGCGGATCACCTGAGGTGATCAAGACCAGCATGGCCAACATGGTGAAACCCCGTTTCTACTAAAAATACAGAAATTAGCTGGGCATGGTGGTGGGTGCCTGTAATCCCAGCTACTCAGGAGGCTGAGGCAGGAGAATCACTTGAACCAGGGAGGTGGAGCTTGCAGTGAGCTGAGATCGTGCTATTACACTCCAGCCTGGGCAACAAGAGCAAAACTCCATCCAAAAAAAAAAAAACACACACACACACAGAAAAAAACTAAAAGCAAACCATGAAAGGGCCTTTCCACTCCCAAATGCTATAAAGGTATCAGTTATTATTATTACTTCCTTAGCATGAAGCAGTTAGTTTTGTAGATTCTCTCTCTTTTTTTTTCTTTAAGACACAGGGTCTGGCTATGTTGCCCAGCTGTTCTCAAACTCCTGGCTCAACGATCCTCCCACCTTAGCCAGCCTAGTAGGTGGGACTACAGGCACGTGCCACCCAGCCCAGCTAGCATCCCCTGTTTTAGGTCTAGTTCCATATTTCTTTAAAAGTCATCAGGATGTCTTTTAGGTCCTGAGTATATTTTTATTATGAGATTGTATAAGTAAAGACCTTTGAACTTCTGAGGAGGCAAGATTGAGACACCTTAGATGCTCCACTGTCTCCTGAGTGAGCAGAGTGGCAGAGGCTGTTACCCTTTTAATAGCACCTTAACCGGGAAGTAGACCCCTTGTAGGCAAGCAGTGACTCACCCACACTGTCACGAATGAGTCAGTGTCCCAGCCGAGCAGGGGCTGGCAGCCTCCTACTTCACGGGGTGGGAAGCAAGGCCTAGGCTCAGTCCTGGATATTGGTCTTGTCACGTTAGGGGTGGTAGCACAGAGCCCGCAGAGTGGAAAGGAGCTGATGCCTTTGGATTGGTCTTCAGGAGGAGAGGATTGAGCTAATGGGCATGTGATACAGAGAAAGACTGTAAGTTAGGGTAAAGGAGAGCTTTCATGTGGTCCTGTCTGAGCTGCAATGGTTGCACGGGCTCCGTGTTACTGGAGTAATTCCAACACAGCCTCAACCCACCTATAGAGATGTTTTGGGCCAGGCACGGTGCCTCACACCTGTAATCCCAGCACTTTGGGAGGCCAAGGTGGGTGGATCATTTCAGGCCAGGAGTTTGAGACCAGCCTGGCCAACATGGTGAAATCCCATCTCTACTAAAAATACAAAAATTAGTCGGGCATCATGACGCACACCTGTAATCCCAGCTAGTTGGGAGGCTGAGGCAGGAGAATCCATTGAACCCAGGAGGCGGAGGCTGCAGTGAGCCAAGTTGGCACCACTGCACTCTACCTGGGAGACAGAGCGAGACTCCATCTCAAAAATTAAAAGATGGTTTGGGGAAGATGTTACCATTGACCAGAGAGTTGGATCAGATGGCTTTCAAGACTTTTTCAATGTTAAAAGTCTGAGCTATGGGGCCAGCGTGGTGGCTTACGCCTGTAATCCCAGCACTTTGGGAGGCTGAGGCAGGCGGATGATGAGGTCAGGAGATCGAGAACATCCTGGCTAACACGGTGAAACCCTGTCTCTACTAAAAATACAAAAAAATTAGCTGGGTGTGGTGGTGGGCACCTGTAATCCCAGCTATTCGGGAGGCTGAGGCAGGAGAATGGCATGAACCTGGGAGGCGGAGCTTCAGTGAGCTGAGATCGCGCCACTGCACTCCAGCCTGGGTGACAGAGCAAGACTCCGTCTCAAAAAAAAAAAAAATCTGAGCTATTTTTGCCTCACGATGAACTTGCATTAACCCACCTTCTGCTTAGTAGCTACATTCTGAGCTTTTTTTTTTCTTTTAATTTTTTGGAGAGACAGGGTCTTGCTCGGTTGCCCAGGCTGGATTACAGTGGTGCAATCATAGCTCACTATAACCTCAAATTGCTGGGCTCAATTGATGCTCCTGCCTCAGTCTCCCAAGTAGCTAGGACTACAGGTGCACACCACAACACCTGGCTAACTTTTAATATTTTTTTTTAAATGGAGGCTCACTCTGTCACCCAGTCTGTGATGCAGTGGCACGATCTCAGCTCGCTGCAACCTCCGCCTCCTGGGTTCAATCAATTCTCCTGCCTCAGCCTCCTAAGTAGCTGGGACTACAGGTGCTCGCCACCACGCCCAGCTAATTTTTGTATTTTTAGTAGAGATGGGGTTTCACCACGTTGGCCAGGCTGGTCTCGAACTCCTGACCTCAGGTGATCCACCCATCTCAGCCTCCCAAAGTGCTGGGATTACAGGCGTGAGCCACCGTGCCCGGCAACTTTTAATTTTTTGCACAGATGGGGGTTTCACTATGTTGCTAAGGCTGGTCTTGAATTCCTGGCCTCAAGGGTTCCTCCTGCCTTCGCTTCCCAAAGTGTTGGGATTACAGGCGTGACCCATTGCACCTGGCCCTTTTGGAGCTTTAGCTTCCTCAGCTGCAAAATGGGATTATTAATATCTACCCTGCTTATCTCAGAGGGTCATAATAAGGATCAACAATGATAATAAATGATTCCTGGTACAATCATGCATGTTGTTCTCATGTTTCTCTCAGTATTTGTGATCCACAGGTAGAGGGTGACCAGGTGAGTACCTGGACCGGCTGTCCCATGGGTCAGAGTAAAGATCCCATTTACTCATGGGGTTGGCATTAAATCACCTTTCACTGGCCATCCCCCAAATATGGTTACCGCTTTACCCTTTGACTTCTCTGTCCCTCTGTCTTCACTCCTCCCATCTTCCTTTCCCTTATGTTCATTGGACTGACACTTCCTGAGGGGTTACTATGTCCAAGGCACCCTGCTGGGGCAGGGGGAGCACAGGAATAACTCCCAGCCCTTGTCTGCAAGGGCACCTCAGCCCTGTAGGGGAAGCGCAGTGCCCAGGAGGAGAGGCCAGGAGGAGGCGGAGGCCAGACAGGGGGAGTGTTCACCAAGAAGACATGGCTTCATGGGCCTGGCTTTTAAGACCAGTTGATGATTCTCCAAGTAGAGAAGGCAGGGGGAAGGGTAAGAATAGAGTGCCTGGATGTTTGCTTGTCTGCCCCAGGCCTGACCCAACTCCTTCCTTGGCACGTTCTCTTGCCTGTTGAGCAACATCCCCTCTGTGACAGGAGAGGAGTTTTGCTCAGGTCTCGCATGCAGCTTCTTTCTAAGCAAGAGAATTTGAAAACTAGAAGTTGTTGTTGGAAATGAAACCGCCATTGCAAAACTGTAAGCGAGACAGTGAAAGAGACTTGACCTAACCAACTCCATCTTGCTTCTAACCTCCAAGCTGTCCTTGTTCATTCCTGGGCGAAGGTGAACTAACTTTGGGAGAAACTTAGTTTCTACTTTAAAGCAAAGACGACAGCTGCTCTTTCCCAAAACAAACCTCCTTCTTGCCTGGGGTCTAGACTGTCTTTGTAGGACAAACGAATTAGCCAAGAGATTAGAAATGATGGTTTAGGAGCCATGCAGCTGGAGGCTACAAGATTCTGACCCTCCCTACACTGCTCCTAAGATCAGCGCTTGGGATATTTTGCAGACTCCACACTTGATGGATCAGCTGGCACCACCCAGATGGATAAACTGGCTCATCTGATCTTGTGGCCCCGACCCAGGAACTGACTCAGCGCAAGAAGACAGCTGACTCCCTGTGATATCATCCCTGATCAATCAGCACTCCCGGCTCACTGGCTCTCCACACCCACCAAGCTGTCCTTAAAAACTCTGCTCCCCGAATGCTCGGGGAGACTGATTTGAGTAATAATACAGCTTCGGTCTCCCACACGGCCGGCTCTGCATGGATTACTCTTTCTCTACTGCAGTTCCCCTGTCTTGATAAATAGGCTGTGTCTAGGCAGCGGGCAAGGTGAAACAGTGCTGACTGCTCACTGGGGCCATGCATATGACCGTGAGATAACGCAGTGATTTTCAACCCCAGTTGTGCACCAGAATCACCTGTGGTTTGTTTTTGGTTTTGATTTAATTCAGATTTCCTGGCCCCACTCTTCATGTATTCTGATTAAATGGATCTGGGATGAGGCCCCTATAATTGGTATGATTTGCTTTCACAAATTTAGAGGGAGAAAGAATGTCCTATAATCTTTGTTTTTCCAGTTCTGCACTCAAGAGGGCAAACGTTGTATTGCAGGATGCCCAGAATCCCCTGTTGAAGCTTCCACCTACCCTGAGTTTTCTGAGAACCCTAAAGGCTTATTGAGTTCTAAAAAGTGAAGGAGCTGGTTGGGCACAGTGACTCACACCTGTAATCCCGGCACTTTGGGAGGCTGAGCAGGGTGGATCACCTGAGGTCAGGAGTTCATGACCAGCCTGGACAACACGGTGACCCCCATCTCTACTAAAAATACAAAATTTAGCTGGGCGTGGTGGCAGGCACCTGTAATCCCAGCTACTCGAGAGGCTGAGGCAGGAGAATCCCTTGAACCTGGGAGGTGGAGGTTGTAGTGAGCCGAGATCGTGCCACTGCACTCCAGCCTAGGCGACAGAGCGAGACTCTGTCTCCAAAAAAAAAAAAAAACAAAGGAGCTGCCGTGGAATTAGTCTGGCTTCCACTCCCAGAGGGGAGAGAATGGATGGTAAGCAGTTGCCTATTTTTCTTTCCTGCGCCTCACTTTCCTTATCTGTGAAATGAGAAGAAAAGTATGCCCCACCTCAGAAGATTGCGGTGAAGGCTGAAAGAGCACAGAGGCTGTGACAGCACATAGTAAGTGCTCAATAAATGAAGGCTATTGCCATGAAGGCAGCAAGGCCTCCTGGGTAGGGGTGTGGGCTCCAGAGCCAGACTGCCTGGGTTCACAGACTGGCAGCCACTCTAATTGTGTAGCCTTCATGCCTCCATTTCCTTCTCTCTACAGTGGGGGTGATAATGACTTCCTCACAGAACTGTTATCGGGTGAATTAATAAGTGTAAGGCACATTGATCAATGCTGGGCAAACAACACCAAATCATTATTAGCAGTTACGGTTACCTCTGCTGTGACCGCTCACTGCCTCATGGTGTCACTGTCAGTCACTGGTCCTGCCCCATCCTTAGCTTGTACCCTCCAGCTGCTCCTAGCAGCCTCGCAGGGCAGCTGTGCCTCTTCAAGAAGAGACCACCTTCCCCTCCCTCTTGCTAATCCTGGCCAAGGAATCCCTACTTGGACTCCTAAGTTCACCTATACAGCCTCCTCGTGGGACACCAGCTGGCTGTGGGATGCTGTGTCAGACCCCGTTCCAGCCTCACCAGCACAGGGAGCCAGGACCTCCACGCTCTTGCCCGCTCTTCCCCAGAGATCCACCCCAGGGTCTGCAGCATTTGTTTGGCCGCCTTGGAGCCTAAGCGTCTGAGAGCACCCCTTTCTCCAACACTGAAGCGATTCTTCTAAAGGAAATTACCACAGTAAGTCCTGGGATCCCCAGTCCCCACTCTGTTCAGATGGCTGCCCTCTGTGCCTCCAGGTGACTTAGTTGGGAGATTTCCTTACCAGGTGTCAACATTACACTTCCGGTGGTACCACTGCCTGGGATTCCAAGGCCATTTTTTGCTTCTTAGAGAAGCGGGGTGGGGAAAGCCCGTATGTCTCATCTCTGCTGGGAACCATATTATGTGTAACTTTAAAAAACCCCAGGCATGATTCCAACATGCAGCCAAGGAAGAGAATCACTGAGGTAGGAAGACTGAGACCTAATGGTTATTAAAACCCCTGCACAAGTGGGAGGCTGTCCGTTGATTCCCTTGAGGCTGCCTTCCCTGGGAACATTTCGATTCTAGAACGCAGGCTCTGAGTCGGTGGTTAGAGATCAGCCGACTCAATGATTCTCCAGTTCAGTGGGCAGCAGAATCGCGGGAGTGGTCTGCTTCTTATACAGCTTCTCAGGTCTCAGCTCCTGATCGGCGACGCTGATTCAGTGGGATGGAGGTGGAGGAGTGGGAGGGATCCCAGATCGCAGTGAGATGCATGGTGAGGAACCCTGGGCGGGGAGGGTGTGGGCAAGGTGGGCGAAGGGCTGCCTGCACATCATGCCTAGGCAGGGAGTTATAAGAAGCAAGGGCAGCATCTCAGAGGGGCTCAGATGTGAGGGAATTGTCATCAGAAGCTGGAAAAAAACAAAATTGTCAAAGTTAATTGCCAAATCTCTCTCCAAATAATATATCCCCTGTCCGACTATCAGGGCCTATTTTCAGATGGAAGAAAATGTGTGTCCAAAGCAGGAATCCCAAGATCAGAACCCTCTGTGGGAGCGGAGGTGAACCCTTGGGAGTGGAAGCTGGGAAGACAATTGCTGCCGATGGTCAGTGAGGAAAGCCTTGGGCTCCAATGACCTCATGGCTCTTTTCTGTCGCCGGTGACAGGACACTCCCTTCCCCTCTGCCCACCTCCACCCACAGGCATATCAGACAGATGACCACATGAGAGCACGGGAAAAGTGTTCCCCGTCGATAACACACATTCTCACGTGCTGCCGCTGCCGCCACCGTCCGACCTAATCCCCCAAATGTCCCGTGATGTCAGGCTGAGTGAGGCAGGGTGAGGTCACCCCAGAGCTCATGCTCTTTTTCCCTGGAGACCCAGGAATTTTTGAAAAGTTGCATAAGAGCAAATGCCTGGTCATGCCTTGGATTCTTTGTGTGAAGCCTTTAGCTCCGGCAGCCCGAGTCTCATTTGTCCCCTAATTCACAGTGTGTGACTTTGTTTTTCTCAGCGGTGTTCACCAGGAGAGGTAAAACAATACTCCCTTATCTCCTCAGAGGGGTCAGCAAGGCAGCCTGGTCGGCCATGAAGCAGGGAAGAGCTGGATCAAACTAGGCTCAAAAGCTACCAGCTCCAGAGCCCACGCCTCAGAAGGACTCTTCCCCCACGGCAGTGCATTCCGGCAGGGGGTGTCCCTGAGGGGTCTCCTTACACCTAAAGTGGTTGTCAGTCCTTCAAAGTTAGTGATAAAGAGTCCAGAGCGTCCTTAGTATTACCATTCACAACAATATGCAGAGATCACCAAAAACAGCACTTTTCCCCTCCATGAGCGTGCTCTCCAGCCTCTGACCCTCCCCAGTTTTCTCAGGCCTCCTACTTGACTAAATATTTGGGAAGTGAAACAATAGCTCACTACAGCAGTGGTGGGCAATTACTGGAAAATCACGTGATTGTCCGAATTGAACCAATTTGTCAAAGACCATTTTCCTTTCACTCATCGCCTCCCCCACACCCCACGATAAGATAGGGTCCCTAGAGCACAATAATCCTTTCCTGAGATACAATTTAGAGGCTCCTGAGAAAAGAAACAAAAGTGAGGCTAATTTTGGCTTTTCTGAGACTAAAGAAAAGCACACAGGCAGGCCCTGTCCTGCTCGAGGAAGCCAGGGTGGGCCTCGTTTCGTCCCTCCAGGGTATCTGCTCGGTCACCAGGGGATTTGGAGAACAATGCAAGGGCAGCGAGGGGGAGATAGGAACCGAGTCCTGGCCCTGGCCGCAGTGACCGAAGTCTTGCCTGGGCCCTGAAGAGATCTCTACCATAACAGCCATGGCTTCAGACTTAAACATTCTGTTAACTGCAAATTTATCACTACCCTTCCCCAGCCGAATTAGTTTTTATTTTATTTATTTATTCGTTTTTTTGAGACAGAGTCTCGCTCTTGTCACTCAGGCTGGAGTGCAATGGTGCGATCTCGGCTCACTGCAACCTCCACCTCCCAGATTCAAGTGATTCTCCTGTCTCAGCCTCCCGAGTAGCTGGGACTACAGGCACCCACCATCACGCCTGGCTAAAAGTTTCCCCATAAACCTTTCACCTACTGGTGTCTTGGAGTTTGATGAATATTTACTCATTCTCTCTGTACTTAATAACTCTGCGTCATGACGCCCAAAGAGGCAGGTATTATTATCTACAGATGAAACTACAGATTGAAAGGTTGACACTTGTCCAGGTCACACAGTGTGATAATAGCAGAGGCTGCGTCATGGAAACAGAGGTCCTGTTTTCCTGGAAGAAAACATTTTCACTCTGCTTTCCACCATGACTTAGCTGTTGGGAAGCAGCAGGCCTCACTTCTAGCGAACTCCACTGGGCACGGGGGCACACCTGTCCGAGGTGGCTCCTGCCCTCTCATCATCCCAGGAAGGAGAAGAGACAGTACATCCTAGGCAACACTTCCTCTCTCGTGGGCCAGCTCTGTCTGTGCTTCGGGCCCTTCAATCTCACTCCCATGTCTCCCAAGCCCTTTCATATCTTGTCCGCTGCTTTCCCCTGCCCTTGTGTTCCAGCTTGAGCTGCCTCGGGTGTCCCCAGCTGCGCTCTCCCATCCAGAAAGGCAAAGAGGCAGGAAAGCTTTCACCAGGGGTGGAGGAGGTGATGAGAAGGAAAAATGTTAGACTTCCAGTTGTCCTGGGGGTCAGTGGGACAGCTGCAGAGATGCTCCAGCGTTTCCCTATAGTGTGACAAAATGGAAACTCCTGCTGCTTCATGCCAGCATTTCACATCACAGCACACGCGTGCTTGTGGCTTTCTGTTGACAAAGGGGAGGCAGACTCTTTTCATCCAAATCCACGGTGTCTTGTAGACTTCTTTTTAGCTTTGCTCAGCGGAGAAGCATTTCCGAAGCCCCGCGGTGGTTTCACTACCCCTTCGCAGTCTGCTCGCAATCCGTTTGCGGCCACAGACAATCTCCTTCTGGAAACCATGCGTCTAGTAGATCAGTGGCAAGCAAAGTGTCCAGTTTAGCCACAGGTCTTTGTGTGGCTGTGCTTTGAGGGTGCAGCGGATGCTTCTCTCTTGGGAAATGATAAATTCCACCCTGTAGAAGGTTATTTGGGCTGATGGAAAATCTAACAGACCGCTTGTCTGGAATAAGCAGGATAGTGAACCCCCTCAGTCAGGCCTGAGCCGTTACCAGTTGCCTGCCCTTCAACTTTCTGTCAATATTGTTCAAATTTCTCTTCCTTCGAAGCTGAATTTGTTGGTGTGACAAAAAATAATCTTTTTTTTTTTTTTTGAGACAAGATCTTGCTCTGTCACCCAGGCTGGAGTGCAGTGGTGCTATCTCGGCTCACTGCAACCTTCACTTCCCAGGCTCAGGTGATTCTCCTGCCTCAGCCTCCCGAGTAGCAGGCATTTGCCACCATGTCCAGCTAATTTTTGTCTTTTTAGTAGAGACAGGTTTTCGCCATGTTGGTCAGGCTGGTCTCGAATTCCTGACTTCAGGTGACCCACACGCCTGGCCTCCCAAAGTGCTGGGATTACAGGCATGAAGCACCGCGCCTGACCAAGAAAAATAAAATTTTATTAAAAATTGCAACCTCTGCCTCCTGGGTTCAAGCGATTCTTGTGCCTCAGCCTCCTGAGTAGCTGGAATTTACAGGTGTGCACCACGACTAAATTTTTGTATTTTTTAGTAGAGATGGATTTTCGCCACGTTGGTCAGGCTGGTCTCGAATTCCTGGCCTCAAGCCTGACCAATCCACCAGTCTCTGCCTCCGAAAGTGCTGGGATTACAGGCATGAGCCACTGTGCCCGGCCCCATTTTTTTTTTTTTTTAAAGACAAGCTCTGGTTCTGTCGCCCAGGCTGGAATGCAGTGACACCATCTCGGTTCAGTGCAAACTCCGCCCCCCAGGCTCAAGCCATCCTCCCACCTCAGCCTCCTGCACCACCACACCCAGCTAATTTTTGTATTTTTCGTAGAGCCGGGGTTTCTCATGTTGCTCAGACTGGTCTCGAATTTATGAGCTCAAGCCATCCACCTGCCTTGGCCTCTCAAAGTGCTGTGATTATAGGCGTGAGCCACCACACCTGGCCTTAACAGCCTCGTGTTAACCTAAGCACCTCCAAACTGTATCTCCAAATACAGTTGCTGGAGGTACAAGGTGTTAAGCTTGAACAACTGAGTTTTGGAGTACCCGCTTCAGCTCACAGCAAGGCCTGGATCGTCTTTCACCTAGTCTGTCTGCCTTCGGCCTTTCCTTCCTTGAAACCAGCCTCCACAGAGCAATCGATGGGCCTACAGCACATTGGTGATCATGTGAATGCATCCGCTGCTGAAAGGCTCTCCACCTTCTACAGGGGGCATTGTGATGGTCAATTTTTTTTTTTTTTGAGACGGAGTTTCACTCTTGTTGCCCAGGCTGGAGTGCAATGGCACGATCTCGGCTCACCACAACCTCTGCCTCCCAGGTTCAAGCAATTCTCCTAACTCAGCCTCCCGAGTAGCTGGGATTACAGGCACCTGCCACCATGCATGGCTAATTTTTTATTTTTAGTAGAGATGGGGTTTCTCCACATTGGTCAGGCTGGTCTCAAACTCCCGACCTCAGGTGATCTGCCTGCCTCAGCCTCCCGAAGTGCTAGGATTACAAGCGTGAGCCTCCGCGCCCGGTGTGATGGTCAATTTTATGTGTCAACTTGGCTAGGCTACAGTCCCATTATTCAATCAAACTCAAATCTAGGCATTGCTGTGCAGGTATTTTATAGATGTGATTCAAGTCCATAATCAGTTGACTTTGAGGGAGATTATCCTAGATAATCTGAATGGGCTTGGTTCAGTCAGACCTTGAAAGGCCTTCAGAGCAGAGCTGAGGGTTCTCTGAAGAAATTTCATCTGTGGGCAGCAGCATTTGGTAATGCCTGAGAAAGTTATACCTTGCTTTTTCTGGTCTGCCCTTCAGACATCAGATTTGCCTACCCAGTCCCCACAGTCACACAGGCCAATTCCTTGCAATAAATCTCTTAATATTTATCTCCTAGTCGTCTTTGTCTTGGTTATAGTCTGGCTAATACAGGCTTTGGTTCTGAAAGTGGTTCTAAAAGAGTAGAACCTTAAAAATGAGTTCTTCTTTATATATTTATTTATTTATATTTTAAGATAGGGCAAAACCCCATCTCTACTAAAAATACAAAGATTAGCTGGGTGTGGTGGCACACACCTGTAATCTCAGCTACTCGGGAGACTGAGGCAGGAGAATCACTTGAACCTGGGAGGCAGAGGCTGCAGTGAGCTGAGATCACACCACTGCACTGCAGTCTGGATGAAAGAGTAAGACTCTGTCTCATTAAAAAAAAAAAAAGTGGGGAAAGAAAAGGATGAGTTCAGGGCTTCAAATTCCTAGCTCATGTTTTGCATAAATGATCTGAAAGCTTCTCTATCTGCCCTGAGAAAAACTCTTATCTCCTGTGGTTACAGGACTGAGATTTCTGAAAATAAAATCCAGGGTCTTATCCTCCAAGTAGCTAAATTCCAATGTAAATTCAATTCTCAATCTTGCAGGATCTTTTATTAAAGCAAGGGCATTGACTGGGAAGGAATGGGATACTGATAATTGGAATTGGGACATATGGGCAGATCCTGATGAAGCTGGGATCATCAAACCCCTAAATTCTGCCAAGTCTTCTTTGCCAAAAGTAGCCTTTCCTGTCTGAGCAGATTGGCCACACTCTGCAGGTATAAACCTCATAGGCCTCATCTAAGTTGCCTCGCAAGGTTCTGCGATTCTCCTCAGGACACACCCCTGCCTCTCCTCTTGTGCTGGGATTACAGTCATGAGCCACTGCACACAGGTGAACAACAATTTATTTCTCACAGCTCTGGAGGCTGGAAAGTCCAAGATCCAGGTGCTGGCGGTTCTGGCACCTGCTGAATGCAGTCTCCTGGTTTGCACATGGCCGTCTTTTTGTGGCTCCTCACATGGTGGGAGAGAGCAGAGAGGAAGCAGGGTCTCTGTGTCTCTTTTCCTAAGGAGTACTGATCCCTTTCACGAGGGCTCCGCCCTCACTACTTCCTAATACCATCACATTGGTGGTTAGAATTTCAACAGATAAATGTTAGGGAGATACAAACATTTAACCCATAGCATGGGCTATCACCAATGGACTGGCTGGATGGTCAGAGACTTAAAGGGAACATAATTGGAAAGTTGGTGACAAGGAGGTCTGAAGAAGGAGTAAGCAGATAGACCTCTCTGAATAGGGAAAAATGTGAAGATATTTATGTTCCACATGAGTGCTCACCAAATGGTAACCTCGGCAGAGAGAGAATTTAACAATAGGTGGATGGGATGACCCATTTTATGGATACCAGTCAGCCTCTTTCCCCAGCCAGTTCTGTCATTGCCCACTGGGCTCATGAATCAAGTGGACATGGTGGCAGGGATGGAGGCTGTGTGTGGGCTCAGCCCCAAGGCTGACCTGGCTGCAGCCAGTGCTGAGTGCCCAGTCTGCTGGCAGCGGAGAGACCCTGATAGGACCCCAGGGTTATCAGACAGCTACCTGGTGGCAAATTGATTACACTGAATCATTTCCATCATAGAAGGGCCAGCACTTTGTTCTTACCAGAATAGCTACTTACTCTGGATACAGATTTGCCTTTCCTGTAGACAATGTTTCTGCTAAAACGACCGTCCATGGATTTATAGCACGCCTTATCCACCATCATGACATTTCACACAATACTACTTCTCATCGGAGAACTCAATTCATGTGGCAATGAGCCCCAGCTTACGGAACTCAGAATCTTACCATGTTCCCCATATCCTCAAGCAACTGGCTTGATAGAGTGGTAAGATGGCCTTGAAATTGTTTTTGTTTATTTTTAAATTAGAGACAGGGTCTCACTATGTTGTCCAGGCTGGTCTCAAACTCCTGGGCTCAAACGAGGAATTACAAGTGTGAGCCACTGTACCTGGCCAGAATGGGCTTTTGAAGACTCAATTACAGTGCCAACCAGGTGGCAATACCTCGTGGGGCAAAGTCCTCTAGGAGGCTGGATAGTCTCTAAATTAGTGTCTAATACATGCTACTGTTTCTTCCATAGCCAGAATTCACGAATCCAGGATTCGAGGGGTGGAAATGGGAATGACCCCACTCGCCGTTGCCTGTAATGATCCACTAGCAAAACGTCTGCCTCCTTTTCTTGTGACCTTAGGTTCTGCTGGTCTAGAGTCTTAGGCTTAAAGGGAGGAATGCTTCCACCAGGAAACACAGCAATGATTCCACTGAATTGGAATTAAGACTGACCCTCAACCACTTGAGGCTCCTCATGCCTCTGTATGAACAGGCAAAAAGGGGTTTTACTATCCTAAGCAAACAATACAGACATTTCTAAAAAGCTTGTTTAGAAGGGCACATTTTCTAGCAGTCCTTCTTATAAGAAACAGAAAGAAGAAATAAGTGCATATGTGGGATGAGTCCCTCCCAAAGTTCCAAGATAAGTATTTGAGGAATGTGATGGTCTTTTTTATGTGTTAACTTGGTTAGGCTACATTCCCCAATTATTTACTCAAACACGAATCCAGATGTTGCTGTGAAGGTACCGTATTTTATAGAAGTGACTAAAGCCCGTAATCACTGACTTTGGGTAAGAACGGTTATCCTAAATCATCAGATAATTCAAATAGGTGAAGGGTTTTTTGTTTTTGTTTTTCTTTTCAGATAGAGTTTCACTCTGTCACCCAGGCTGGAGTGCAGTGGCACAATCACAGCTCACTGCAGCCTCCACCTCTCGGGCCCAGGTGATCCCCTGCCTCGGGCTTCCTGGTGGCTGGGACTACTGGTGCGCGCCACCATGCCAGGCTAATTTTTTTTTTTTTTTTTCCAGATGGAGTTTCGCTCTGTTGCCCAGGCTGGAGTGCAGTGGTGTGATCTTGGCTCACTGCAAGCTCAGCCTCCTGGGTTCATGCCATTCTCCTGCCTCAGTCTCCCAAGTAGCTGGGACTACAGGCGTCCGCCACCACGACCGGCTAATTTTTTCATTTTTTTAGTAGAGACGGGGTTTCACCTTGTTAGCCAGGTTGGTCTCGATCTCCTGACCTCATGATCCACCTGCCTTGGCCTCCCAAAGTGCTGGGATTACAGGCGTGAGCCACTGTGCCCGGCCTTTTTTTGCATTTTTTATAGAGATAGTGTTTCACCATGTTGCCCAGGCTGGTCTTGAACTCCTGGGCTCAAGTGATCTGCTCGCCTCCAAAGTGCTGGGATTACAGGCGTGAGCCGCCGGGTGAAAGATCTTAAGAGCAGGGCTGAGGTTTCCCTGAGGAAAAAGAAATTCCACCTGAGAACTTGCATGTCCTTCCTGATGGACTGCCCTGGGGCTTTCAGACTTACCTAGCCATCCCCCACCATTGCATAAACCAATTCCTTGCATGGAACCTCTTCATATATCAGCATACATATCCTACTTGCTCTGTTTCTGTAGTTGAACCCTGGCTGCTGCAAACATAAAAACCTTTCTCTTCAAAGCCTCTCCCATTTCCTACCTTCCCATCCACTGTAGGAACCCAAGAATTAGGCAGGAACATGTGAGCATAATTTCCCCGAGTTAATGGAAAAGCACATTGTGATAAAGACCTAGGGTTGAGAAGGCAGCGGGACCTCTGTTCTACAAAGTGAAAGATTAAAGCTGTGTTGACAAAAGGAATGCGAAGTACTTATGTAGCCCCTTTGAAAGTTAACTAATCCTTGAGGTGCAAGATGGGTCTAATTTTTTTGCTAACATATTTGGGGGAGAGCAAACTGCACTTTGAAATG
The DNA here is from genome assembly GCF_000001405.40 of Homo sapiens. Lineage (NCBI taxonomy): Eukaryota > Metazoa > Chordata > Mammalia > Primates > Hominidae > Homo > Homo sapiens. Next base: position 194,564,480 of record NC_000003.12, on the reverse strand, counting down.
GGAGTCCCTTTTATCCTGAATGTCCTTTATGTCCACTCTTGGGTCTCAGAGCTACCTCTTCTCTGTACCCAGTGACAGAAAGTGAGGACAGCAGAGAGAGATGCTGGAGGCTGCACAATTTATAGGGACAAGAGAGAACTAGGGCCAGGATATTTCTGATAAGAGTGTTGGTGACTCAGAAAAATGGAGTTGGGAGATGCAGGGACCCCACTAGGGCTACAGAAGAAAGGGGGAATATGAGAAGGGAGAAAGGCCAGCATTAGAAAAGGAAGGGACAGTCACATGGTTGTAGGGCAGCTCAGTGAGGTCCAGACTTTTGCTGAGGGCAAAAGGACAAAGTCTCAGACAAGGGACACAATGCCTCGCTTTCCACACTTCCAACTCTGTAGGGTTCACGGTCATCATTGGAGCTTGGAGTACATATCTGCCCACTCTTGTTCAGGTGCTGAAGTCTAAAATAGGAAAGAACTTTTCACAAGATGGCACTCAAGGCGAAGAAGGAAGCTCCTGCCCCTCCTCAAGCCAAAGCCAAAGTGAAGACTTTAAGGGCCAAGAAGGCAGTGCTGAAAGGTGTCCACAGGACAAAGCCTCCATCGCACCTGCCCATTCCCCAGAGACCAGTCATCCACATCTGGTGGCCCAAGACACTGCGACACCACAGGTAGCCCAAATATCCTTGGAAGAGTGCCCTCAGAAGAAACAAGTTTGACCACTATGCCAGCCTCAAGTTCCCACTGACCATGAGGAGATTGCAGGACTAAGGTCTCTGGAGAATGAGCAGGTGCGTGGGAGGCTTTGTGGTTCTCATCCAAGAACAAAAAGTATAAAAGGGCCATTGGTGGCTGGGTACGGTGGCTCATGCCTGTAATCCCAGCACTTTGGGAGGCCGAGGCGGGGGCATCACCTGAGGTCAGGAGTTCAAGACCAGCCTGGCCAACATGGTGAAACCCCGTCTTTATTAAAAATACAAAATTAGCCGGGCATGGTGGTGCATACCTGTAGTCCCAGCTACTCAGGAGGCTGAGGCAGGAGAATTGCTTGAACCTGGGAGGCAGAGGTTGCAGTGAGCCAAGATCATGCCATAGCACTCCAGCCTGGCAACAGAGTGAGACTCCATCTCCAAAAAAAAAAGGGAGGGGGGCCATTGGCACTGCTGGAGAAGCAGCCATGAAGACAGAAGGCAACACACTTGTGTTCACTGTGGATGTTAAAGCCAACAAGCACCAGATGGAACAGGCTATGAAGGAGTTCCATGACATCTGTGTGGCCAAGGTCAACACTGAGTCAACCTGATGGAGAGAAGAAGGGAGGGAGCTCCATGACATCAATGTGGCCAAGGCCAACACTGAGTCGACCTGATGGAGAGAAGAAGGGAGCAAGCTCCATGACATTGGTGTGGCCAAGGCCAACACTGAGTCGACCTGATGGAGAGAAGAAGGCATGTGTCCACTGGCTCCTGATGACCATGCTTTGGATGTTGCCAACAAAATTGGGATCATCTAATCTGAGTCCAGCTTGCTAATTCTAAAGGTATATATGTATCTTTTCACCAGAAAAAATACAAATAAAACAAAATAGAAAAGGGAAAACCTCCTTCTCCAACATCAGGGAATTAGAAACACCTTCTCTGAGGCTGCAAAGGGTGCAGGGAAGGGGACAAAAGAAAAGCGTCCTCTGCAAAGTGATCGGGAGAGCAGACAGTAAATGGAAGTTAGAAGGTTGCAGATTTCAGCTCTCCCAAGAAACACCTTTTTTTTTGAGATGGAGTCTCGTTCTGTCACCCAGGCTGGGGTGCAGTGGTGCAATCTCAGCTCACTGCAAGCTCCACCTCCCAGGTTCAAGCGATTCTCCTGCCTCAGCCTCCCGAGTAGCTGGGACTACAGGCGCCCACCACCATGCCCGGCTAATTTTTTGTGTTTTTAGTAGAGACGGGGTTTGGTTTCGATCTCCTGATCTCGTGATCCACCCACCTCGGCCTCCCAAAGTGCTGGGATTATAGGCATGAGCCACTGTGCCCGGCCAAGAAACACCTTTTAAATGCTCTTTACCAATAAAGAGAAATGGGCTACCTCGGGAGGGAGGGGGTTTCTTGTCCCCGTAGGTGTTAGTTGACACAAGGTGACCACCTAGCAAGGGTGGCATGGGAAGGATTCAAGCAGTGACCTCTAAGGCCGTAGTCAACAATATACTTTTCTATTTATTGAAAGACTTAGATATGAAGATAACTTTAAGAATATTTGGCACTAGGACTATAAAATATGCTATTATAAGCTCAGAACTAAAACTCATCATAGGGAGACAGAGCTGGACAAGTTTTGTTTTTGTTTTTGTTTTTTTTTTTAAGAAGGAGGTCTCACTATATTGCACAGGCAGGTCTTGAACTCCTGGGCTCAAGCTATCCTCCCACCTCTGCCTCCCTAAGAGCTGTGATTACAGGCATGAGCCACCGCACCCGGCCAGGACAGGATCTTTAAAATAATCTTGTCTAATGTCCCTCTTACCCTCCCCTCCAATTTTATGTGAGAAAATACCCAGAAAGATCTTTAAAATAATCTTGTCTAATGTCCCTCTTACCCTCCCCTCCAATTTTAAGTGAGAAAATACCCAGAAAGAAATGACTAACTCCAGATGACACAGCTAAAAAGTAGATGTGGGCTAGAACCTGGAACTTGCAGCCATGCTCCATCCATTTCTTAACATCTTCTTTTCAGGTCTCTTTATCAAAGCTGCCCAGCAATATCTGGAAACTTACCAGGAAAAAAATAATGGAAACAATTAAACCTTGACAAATGACAGCTTCTTCAGATATGGTTTAAACACAAAGAACTATAAGGAACTCAACTGCTCAAACTCCTTGATAACATCAAGGAGAAGGAGTCATTTCACATAAATCTCAGAGATGATGTCATCGAAACATACAAGTAGCAAGTGGAAGTTACAACTCATCCTGAAGGAAATGATTCTTATAAATAGTTTTGATCTGGAGATACCATTTGGCGTCTTAGAATCGTAGACTCTTGAAATAGGAAGGCCTACCGCAGAGGCTATCGGATCCAGGGCGTGCTGGCCGCACAGTGTCAGCAAGGTCAATGCCACTCTCCACTTGGCTTCTATAGGACTTTGTCCTGGCCACTACTCCAGTATTTTGCACATTAGAGCACACCAAATTGAATGGAAGTTTTTTCTTCCAAAATTAAAAAAAAAAAGTTTTTTTCTGATGATAAGATAAACATGCTTATTGTGAAACTTCAAATAGTACAGAGAAGTATAAAGAAGACTTACCAGAAATCTCACTGCCCAGAGATAACCACTGCGAGCATTTTGATGACTGCCATTCCGTTTTCTCCAGGCACACGTTTGCACTCACGCATCCATATTTTGGCAAAGTTTGGACCAGAGTACAAAGGCAGTTTGTCATATTCTTCTTTACACTAAACTATTTATTTATTTATTTATTTATTTATTTTTGAGACAGAGTTTCGCTCTTATTGTGCAGGCTGGAGTGCAGTGGCATGATCTCGGCTCACTGCAACCTCCACCTCCCGGGTTCAAGCGATTCTCCTGCCTCAGCCTCTGGAGTAGCTGGGATTACAGGCGTGTGCCACCACACCCGGCTAATTTTTGTATTTTTAGTAGAGATGGGGTTTCACCATGTTGGCCAGGCTAGTCTCAAGCTCCTGACCTCAAATGATCCACCTGCCTTGGCCTCCCAAAGTGCTGGGATTACAAGCATAAGCCACTGTGCCTGGCCCTACACTAAATCATTTGTATAGACCCACAATTTCATTTTAATGGCTGCATAGTAGACATTGTATGAAGAGATCTTCATATAGTCAACCACACTCTGATTGATTGATCGATTAGGTGTTCTCAGTTTTTTACTAACTTGGGGGGTTAGTTCTTGCTTTAGGGAAAGAGGTCATCTTGGCCACCCTTGGGAATGTGAATTAACTTTGGAAACTAAAAGCACTTTGCTTCCTCCAAAGTAGTTAAGTGTTTGCGGGTGATTGCGGGGCTAAGGTCTCTGGAGAATGGGCAGGTGGGTGGGAGGCTTTGTGGTTCTCCTCCAGGATAAAAGAATATAAAGGGGCCATTGGTGCTGCTGGAGAAGCTGCCATGCTCCAGGGGAAGACCTCAAGGATATGTCAGTGCCTGGAGCCCGGCCTGACCCTGGCTGACTTCCGGGTCAGCTTGCGACCCTGCCCCGGCTAACCTACCTGTGGAAAGAGCCAGAATTGAAGACTGGACCAGCCCCTGGTCCAAGGTCCAGCTTGCCCAGGCCAGTTGCTGCTCTGCAACCAGAACTCCACCTGTGGCTCCAGGAAGAGACACAGCTGCCTGATACTCACTAGTGAAAGCCAAAGCTTTACCCACTTCGGGGCTTCGGCAGTTCACCAAGGCAACTGCTACTCCGTCACCAATGCTTCCCCTTACACGTACAGTGAGAGACCACACCATCAATTAATCCCCACTGGTGCTATGGAAGGTGGAGACTGAGGGGCTCTGGCACCCAAACTCTGAGGACATCCTGGGATATAAAAGTGCCACCACCAATACCTGCAGCTGAGGGGAGGTGACAATACCACAGTGAATACCTTTTTGACATACGTCTTTACATATGTATCCAATTATCTCCTCCATATAAACTCCTTTAAGTGGCATTACTACATCTGTGGGAAAATGTGGAACAAATCTTGCAGCAATGCTGGCAGGTGCCTGGGAAGGACCAGCTGGCCCACTGCTGAGAACCTTCACGGGGCAGCAACTTGTGACAGACGTAGCCACTGTTCAGAGTCTGGCCTTGTAGGTTCAGCACCCCATAGTCAATGGGACTCCCAAAGCAGACTCACTCAGAGGAGACTGGAGGGGACAGAGCAGAATGTCCAGCGATGAGTTTATAATGAAATGTATAAATGCTGGGAGAAGCAGGCGTTTGAGTCAGCCTGACCAGCCTGCTCTCTCTTGCTGTGGAAATCAGCATGGGAAGCCAAAATCACAATCAGAAGGTTAATGGTAAGCCTAGAATCCAGGAAGGGGAGTTAGTTTGGTGATCTGAATGATGGCTGGATGCATCGTCCATCCCACCACTAGGGTAATATACACCCTTCAGGTGACAGTGGGGGCAAAGGAAAGTCAGGTGAGTCGTAAGTCAGAAACTGCTCTGTGGCTAAAGTGAACCCCTAGCCATTCTCCTGCAGAGTCCTTCTTCTATCTGGCAATACTCTGTGCACCTGGGGACTCATAGCTTTTCCTGCAGATAGAGAGGGTAAAAAATCACACCATAGACCGGGCGCGGTGGCTCACGCCTGTAATCCCAGCACTTTGGGAGGCCGAGGTGGGTGGATCACGAGGTCAAGAGATCGAGACCATCCTGGCCAACATGGTGAAACCCCATCTCTACTAAAAATACAAAAAAAAAAAAAAAAAAAAGGCCAGGTGTGGTGGCAGGCACCTGTAGTCCCAGCTACTTGGGAGGCTGAGGTAGGAGAATCACTTTAACCCTGGAGGCGGAGGTTGCAGTGAGCCAAGATTGCGCCACTGCACTCCAGCCTGGGCAACAGAGCAAGACTCCATCTCAAAAAGAAAAAAAAATCACACCTTAGGGCCCTATTTTTAAAAAGAGCCCATCCATATCTTTTTTTTTTTTTTTTTTTGAGACAGAGTCTCACTCTGTTGCCCAGGCTGGAATGCAGTGGCACAATCTCGGCTCACACTGCAACCTCCACCTCCCAGGTTCAAACGATTCTCCTGCCTCAGCCTCCTGAGTAGCTGGGATTACAGGCACCCGCCACCATGCCTGGCAAAATTTTTGTATTTTTAGTAGATATAGGGTTTCACCATGTTAGCCAGGATGGTCTCAATCTCCTGACCTGGTGATCCACCTACCTCGGCCTCCCAAAGTGCTGGGATTACAGGCGTGAGCCACTGCGCCTGGCCCATATCTACTTTTCTTATTCACTTGTTCATTTATTCACTCGACAAATGATGGTTGAGTTCTGTATAGGTCCTGGGGAGACAGCAGGGAGTAAAGTAGATGCAATTCCTGCTGTCATGGAGTTCATATTCTGGTGGGAGAGAAAGACGATTAATGAATATGCAATGATTGTATATTTATTTGAGCACACCATTAATTAAACAGGACAATTTCTAACTATAAAAATCTATATGTGGCCGGGCATGGTGGCTCACCCCTGTAATTCCAGCACTTTGAGAGGCTGAGGCGGGTGGATCATGAGGTCAGGAGTTTGAGACCAGCCTGGCCAACATGGTGAAACCCCGTCACTATTAAAAATACAAAAATTAGCTGGGCATGGTGGTGGTGTGCTCCTGTAATCCCAGCTACTTGGGAGGCTGAGGCAGGAGAATCACTTAAACCCGGGGGGGCAGAGGTTGCAGTGAGTCAAGATCACGCCACTGCACTCTGGCCTGGGCAAGAATGAGACTCTGTCAAAAAAAAAAGAAAAAAAAAAAAGTCAGGAGCAAGTCAAGAGAAACATGGATAAAATCCTGGGCTAATGTCACCGAAAACCTCCTGGAGTACCATAGGTCTCAGCTGCGTGATTTCCCTCCTGCATCTCACCATGTACTGAGATTTGCTGGAAGCGCCCGGGATGTTTAGGTGTGGTGCCCCCTGAAATGTTTCTTCCTTCAGGAGGGTGGGAAAGAACATAAATTTCATTGTCTTCTCAGTCGAAAAAGAAAAAAAAAAAATCCCCTATGGCCTGATGCAATTAAAAAAAAAAATCCATGTGATGTACCACCCCAGCATCTCAGAGATTAGACGCAGAAACCCAGGTCATGTCCCAGAAGGGAAGAGTGAGGGAGGAAGAACTCTTTTCAGGGATTGATAGGGTGAATGACTGGAAGTTTCTACAATGGGAAAAAAAAAAAAAAAAAAGGCTGGGTTATCATTCCTGTCATTGCTATTATTGTTGTTATTATCAAAAACATGTAAATAGTCCTCTTAAATTATTGTCCCTCTTAAACAATAAAGGTGATAACAGAGACTTCTTTGGGCATTTGCAAACCCAAAGAGAATATTGTTATATATTGTTATTCACCAGCAGCTTTGCTTTAAGGGACCCAGCAATGACTGTGAGATCCAGACAATTCCAGGGGAAGGTCTAGGTGTGTTGTTTGGGTGACTGAAGAGGGTCAGAGGGCCCTTTAAAGAAACGGGTGGGGGGAGGGGTGAGAGATAGCATTAGGAGATATACCTAATGTAAATGACGAGTTAATGGGGGCAGCACACCAACACAGCACATGTATACACATGTAACACACCTGCACATGATGCACATGGACCCTAGAACTTAAAGTATAATAATAAAAAAAAAATATATATATATATATAAACAGTCAAAACAAACAATAATAAAGTTCATACTTACATAGGCAAGAAAAAAAAAAGAAACGGTTCTGGCAGAATGGAAAAGGCACTTTCAAGGGGAGAAGGGGCCATTTGAGTAGTTCGGGTGGTACACAATGAGGAAAGATGTTGAGGGAAGAGAGGAGAGGGCAGAGGAGAGGCACGGTGGCATTAGACACCTATGACAGGGCAGGATGGGAGGAGGGGTGAGAAAGATGGAGCTGCAAGATGTGTCTGAAAAGAAGAGCTGAGTCATGGGTGGGAAATGGGGGTCACCTGGACAGTGACACAATATCTGTGTTAACCAGGGTTGTTGGCACCGGCTGTAGCCTGCCCTTCCCACTCCCGATCGCGGTTCTGGACACAACAAAAACTTATTTATTTCTCTTTCATTTCAAGGTCGGATGTGGGTGGAGCTGGTGGGGGCGGCACTCTGACACAGCTGTCTTCCAAACTGGGCATCCTGGCTGTGCTCATGTGTGTCTTCACCATCTTGGAATCCTTTGCTTCCAGCCAGGTGGACAGAAGAGAAAGCAAAGCTTTTCCTTCACCACCACAAACCGGAAGTGAGCCGTAACTTCTGTTTGCTTCTGTTGGTAAAAATTCATCACACGGCCATTGCTAGGGAGCACAGGAGGGGCCCTGCAGCCCAGGCCTTGTGTGGCCATTCAGGAAGCTGACCCGTCAGGAGGGAGCTGGTCACTGTAGGAGTCAGGAGGTGTTAGTCTCTGTGAGTAGAAAGGAGTTCCCTAGGGTGCCTCCTCACTCCAAATCACACCATGCTGTTTTGTCTGGAGAGTCCCTGGCTAGGCTTAGGGTTTGGGGGACACCAGGGACAACTGAGGCTCTGGCAGTCCCCCCTTGTAGATGGCAAAACCCTGTACTGCAGGTGGCTTGTTGTTTATTGGGGTCAGTGTGCCCTTTAATACTCCTTCCAGCATGAAGATTTGAGGATGAATGTTCAGGGGCTCTGGATTCTTATCCTCTCTCTCCCACTACCTTACCCTCTGACCCCACGGGAGTCTCTTCTTCCTGGGCCTCGGCTTCCTGAGCTACAAACGGAATGGGCTGGCCTGCGTGACCTTTAATGCTTTTCCAGGCACGAGAGTCTATGTCCCCTTAGGGACAAGCTTGAACCACCTCATTTCTGCATCTCCTGAGCTCTTGGAAAGGAGTGAGGCCTGGAAGACTTTCTGGGGTTACTGCTGTGAGCTTCAGCCCCACCTGATCCTACCTAGAATTGCATCATCAAAATAAGAGACTTCTTAAGCTCATCAGCTGCTTGCAGCCACTCAAAAAGTGCATGATCTGAATGGGTAGAGGGAGAGACCCAGTGGCCTGTGCCAGGGCTCCGATTTCAAGGCAGCACGGTGTCCTGCCTCTGTGAGATCCAGCTGTGAGCGAGGCCTGAACATCCATAGATGTGAGACCAAGTTACATCCGTCAGGGTACCAGCAGGCAACAGATGCACACCCGGAAGTGTTTGCACAGGGGGAAAAAAGCTTGAAGCAGAGACTGTTCACAAACGTGTAGCCAGAGGCAAGGAACCAACAAAGAATGGTGAGGTGCCCAGGGCCGGGGACCAGGCCTGAAGGGGCAAAGGAGGAAATGTTGTGAGCAGAGTTATGGGAGACGGACCTTCCCACAGAAGCCAGAGCCATAGAAGAATGTAACAGCAGGAAAGCAGGGTTGAGCCAGCGCGGATGGGGGTGGGATGGAGCAGGGAATAAATGTGTCAACCTCCAATCTCTTGCCAGCGCCTCCCATTAGACAAACCCAACAGGAAGCCAAGGGAACAGGGACTCTGGTGATGCAGTTATAGAAAACACAGAGGGCAGGAGAGGCAGTGGACAGGGGAGGCACATGGAGAATAACCAGCTCGGGAGTCTGGTTATCCCATGACAGGGGGAGTCTGAATGGCCTGGACCCTGTGGTATACTGGCAGTGAAATTCCCAGCCAGGTTGATGATGACAGCAGTGATAACGAAGAAGGTGACCCTATCTTAGATTTATATAACTGTTTTGTCCTCCAACAATATCGGGTTACCCAGAGCATCTTTCAGGACATCTGAAGGAGCCTGGTGGAATTCTCTGAATCTTGCATCTGAGATTTCTTTTAGATACAAATTTAGACCCTGCTCTGACTTTTTCCCGAGTGGTAACACTAGCTGCTCTGTCAGTCCTGAGAGAGTTGGAAGAGTGGGATAAATTTAGACTAGAGTTATTGTGCCTCAGCCAATATGTTAAATACTTGATTTTTAACATGACCCTGACCTCCGTGCCCTGCATAACCACATATTCCCCGTCCTCTATTTGACCAGCCTCTAGGTCTCTCACCCCCACACTGATGTGTACCTCCCCGCCTTCGCCAGCTATGAATAGTTGGTGTGGACAAAGAGACTGGGCGTTGGGCTGCCATCAGCTCCCACTCCATCAGATACCATCACTGTCAAAACAAAGTCAGCTATGTGGAAACCCTTGCCATGCCTCCTGCCTCCTTTTGGAATGCAGCGTTCTGACTGCAAGTACAGAGCGGCAATTTATAAGCATGAGTTGGTGCAGAAAACAAGTCACAAAACCAAGAAAATGAATATGATATGGAATGGCATGAAATTCAGGACTGTCGACAGAGATAGAATGGAGCCAGGAGAAGATGATGCTTCAAGATTAACATACATGAGAGACGAGGGCCAAGAAACCAGGCCTTGGATATTTTTTTATTTCTCTGCATACTTGAGTTCACTGTAGTTATTACTGTTAATAGATCATTTTACTCTAGCACTTTTCAAATGTTTTCGTGCATTAGCCATGCATCTTAGTACTTAAAAAAGGTACAGAATTTTTTTCTTTCTTTTTTTTTTTCTTTTTGAGATGGAGTCTCACTCTGTCGCCCAGGCTGGAATGCAATGGTGCGATATCGGCTCACTGCAACCTCCACCTCCTGGGTTCAAGCAATTCTCCCGCCTCAGCCTCCCCAGTAGCTGGGATTACAGGCACCCACCATCATGCCCAGCTAATTTTTGTATTTTTGTAGAGACGGAGTTTCACCATATTGGTCAGGCTGGTCTCGAACTCCTGACCTCAGGTGATCCGCCCACCTTCGCCTCCCAAAGTTCTGTGATCATAGGTGTGAGCCACTGCACCCAGCCAATATTTTTTTTTCACTCTGTTATATACTGTGCTCTTTTCTTTTTTTTTTTCTTTCTTTTCCTTTTTTTTGTTTTTTGAGATGGAGTTTTGCTCTTGTCACCCAGGCTGCAGTGCAGTGGCGCAATCTCTGCTCACCGCAACCTCCACCTCCCAGGTTCAAGACATTCTCCTGCTTCAGCCTCCCAAGTAGCTGGGATTATAGGCGTCTGCTACCACGCCAGGATAATTCTTTTTTTTTTTTTTTTTTTTTTGTATTTTTAGTAGAGATGGGGTTTCACCATGTTGGTCAGGCTGGTATCAAACTCCGGACCTCCGGTGATCCGCCCGCCTCGGCCTCCCAAAGTGCTGGGATTACAGGCATGAGCCACTGCGCCTGGCCTTAGTGTTCTGTTTCCCAACTTTGGGTCACAACCCATTAATAGGACATGAAATTAATTTAATTGAGTGTGGTCAGCATTTTTCAAAAAATGAAATAGATGGAATATAAGCATCAGAGTATATTATAGAGAGAAAGCTAAGTGTTGTATGATACACCTGAACACGCATGCTGGGCATCTACTTAAATGCATTCTTCACCCAGGCCTCGGTGTAGCAGAGCTGGCCAGGTGTCAAGGCACTCAGGCACTTGTTCCAGCACCATTATTAATCTAAGTGGCCTCATCTGGACAGCTGTCCTCTCTGGTCTTGGTATCTTTATCTATAAAGTGACACATTTGCACTGAATGAACCCTAAGGGCTTTTCTTCTTTTCTTTTCTTTTTTGAGACAGAGTCTCGCTCTGTTGCCCAGGCTGGAGTGCAGTGGTGTGATCTTGGCTCACTGCAACCTCTGCCTCCCAGGTTCAAGTGATTCTCTTGCCTCAGCCTCCAGAGTAGCTGGGACCACAGGCACGCGCCACCATGCCCACCTAATTTTTGTGTTTTTAGTAGAGATGGGGTTTCACCGTATTTGTCAGGCAGGTCTTGAACTCCTGACCTCAGGTGATCCACCCACCTCGGCCTCTCAAAGTGCTGGGATTACAGGTGTGAGCCACCGTGCCTGGGCCCTTAAGGGCTTTTTAATCCCCCACTTAACACATATTTATTGAGCATCTGCTAGATACCAAGCACTGGGGGTTTAGCAGCAGGCAAAATGAAGATCTTGCCCTCCCTGACTTTATATTCTAGTAGAGGGATGACAGGCAATAAACAAACTAATGAGTAGATAATATGCTGAGTCATGCTAAGTGCAATGGAGAAAAATATGGCGGAATAAGGGGGCAAGAGTGCAATGGAGGAGGGCATTGCCATTTTAGGTAGTTTGAGGTGGCATTTCCACAGAGGTGTGAAGAAAGCGAAGGGATCAAGCTACACAGATATCTGTGGGAAGAGTGAGCTCGCTGAAGGCTGGAGAGCGCTTACCTTGTTCAAGGATCAGGAAAGGGCCAGAGTGGCCGCAGCAGAGTGGGCAAGGGACAGTGGGTGGGAGAGCAACTCAGAGGGAGGGGGCTGGGGCCAGGGCCAGGGAAAAAGAACCTGTGCAGGTTTTGAGTGGCAGAGAGAATCCACCGGACTGTACGGAGGCCAGCTAGGAGGCTGCTAGAATACTCCAGAAGTGAGATTATGATGTCTTGCTCTAGGATGGTAAAGAGAAAGGAGATGAGAGGGATTCTGAATATATTTTGGTGGTAGGGCAAGTGGGGTTTGCTGATGACATCTACGAAGTGAAGGACCAAGAGGAATATAGGATGACTTCAAGGTTCGAAGCCTAAGCAGCTGGAAGGAGTTTCAGTTTATGGAGATAACGAAGACTATGGGAGAAGAGGCATTGGGGTGTGTGTGCGTAAAGTATGAGGTCAGAGATGCTGATTTTTTTACTTTTATTTTTTTGAGATGGAGTCTTGCTCTGTCGCCCTGGATGGAGTGCTGTGGCACAATCTCGGCTCACTCCAACCTCCGCCTGCTGGGTTCAAGCGATTCTCCTGCCTCAGCCTCCTGAGTTGCTGGGATTACAGGCACCTGCCACCACGCCCAGCTAATTTTGTACTTTTAGAAGAGATGGGGTTTCACCATGTTGGCCAGGCTCATCTGGAACTGCTAGCCTCAAGTGATCCTCCCGCCCCAGCCTCCAAAAGTGCTGGGATTACAGGCATGAGCCACTGTGCCGTTGTGGATGCTTATTGAACATCCACATGGCCATGTTGATGGTCCTTGGAAATCTGAATCTGAAGGGGCATTTATGAGTATAAGGATACAGAAGGCCACTGCACTGGACCAGATAACAGAGGGAGTGGTAGAGATGAGAAGAGGCTCCAGGACTGAGGTCTAGGCCCCTCCAACATACAGAAGCCTGGAAAATGAGAAGGAAACAGCAAACATTATTTGACTCTGCGACTCTTTTCAGAATAAGTTGCTAAACAGAGGAAAATCAGAAAAATATGGTTTTAAACAAAAAAAGAAAATAAATAAAAGAAAAAAATGGGGCCGGACGCAGTGGCTCACACCTGTAATCCCAGCACTTTGGGAGGCCGAGGCGGGCGGATCAGGAGGTCAGGAGATTGGGACCATCCTGGCCAACATGGTGAAACCCCGTCTCTACTAAAAATACAAAAATTAGTTGGATGTGGTGGCACGTGCCTGTAGTCCCAGCTACTCAGGAGGCTGAGGCAGGAGAATCACTTGGATCCAGGAGGCAGAGACTGCAGTGAGCTGAGATCGCGCCACTGTACTCCAGCCTGGTGACAAAGCGAGACTCCATCTCAAAAATAAATAAGTAAATAAAATAAAAATACTTTAAAAAAAGAAAAAAAGAGAAAAATATGGTTTTTAGTTTGAAATAATTAGCATAGCTTACCTACCAATCATTGTTAAATGTATCATTCTTGATAACAACTGCAATAGCATCTTGTACAAAGCTTGGTAGAAAATTGCTGGTGAATTAAATGGAAATGTGTATTGATTGTCTTAGGGTTTCTTTCAGTTCTTGGTGGTGTTAAAAAAAATGGGGGAAATTAGAGCTTTATTTGCCTTCAGCAACTTATTCAGACTGGAGGAAACTGATCCCCAGGGCTTCCCCAGCAGCCCCCATAGTCTGAAGGGAGGCTTCAGACTGGATTTCCCAACTCTGCTCCAGCCACGGCAACCTTCATTTCAGGGTATAATTGCAGTGCCCAGTCCTGGGCTCCCTGAGGAATTTCTCCTTCCTTGCTGTGAAGGCAAGGAAGATTAGCCTGATTTTATGGCTATCTAGTGCTTCTCAGCCTTTAAGACTAACTCTCCAACAAGGAGCAGACAGATTTTCAGGTTTAAGAGAATTGAATGCAAGCTTTGGCTTATTAAAACTTGTCCTTTTGAAAAAGGATAGCAAACTACAATGTTCGGCAAAATGTGTAGTGTTTCAGGGTGTGTCTTTCTGTTAGTGCTGGATTTCAGGGGCAGTTTATGCCAAGCATTTGGATGCAGCAACAGTCTTCTTGGGAGGTGGTGGTGGCCACGGTGAGATTAGAGGAGAGAGCAGCAGGCTGCTATATTAGGAGCAGCCACAAAAGGAACTAGCAATTTTTTTTTTTTTTGAGATGGAGTCTCTCGCTCTGTCGCCCAGGCTGGAGTGCAGTGGCGTGATCTTGGCTCACTGCAACCTTTGCCTCCTGGGTTCAAGCGATTCTCCTGCCTCAGCCTCCCGAGTAGCTGGGACTACAGGCATTCACCACCACGCCCAGCTAATTTTTATATTTTTAGTAGAGACGGGGTTTCACCTTGTTGGCCAGGATAGTCTCGATCTCTTGACCTCACAATCCGCTCACCTTGGCCTCCCAAAGTGCTGGGATTACAGTCATGAGCCACCATGTCTGACCAGAACTAGCAATTTTTACACCCCAGAAAAGCTTCCTAAACTGCCCCACCCCCAATTCTCTGTCTATCATCGGGCCTGCTTCAGCTCCCTAGCAACAGATTCGCTGATTCGATTGTAACTTCTCTGGGCATGAAAGCCAGGACCCTGTGCATTTCAGTAACTGTACGTCGGGCCTTCAACCTCCCTGTCTTCACTACCCTTGCCTTTTAAAGCACCAAACTCCTGAAATGATTAGAACTAGACTGTGAGACCGGTTGAATAGATTTGGAAACACCACTCAGTGTGGGTTTAGATATTGCCTGAATCAAAAGTAAAGACTTGGCCGGACACAGTGGCTCACGCCTGTAATCCCAGCACTTTGGGAGGCTGAGGCCAGAGATCACCTGAGGTCAGGAGTTTGAGACCAGCCTGGCCAACATAGTGAAACCCTGTCTCTACTAAAAATACAAAAATTACCCAGGTGTGGTGGTGGGTGCCTGTAATCCCAGTTACTCGGGAGGCTGAGGCAGGAGAATCGCTTGAACCCGGGAGGCGGAGGTTGCAGTGAGGTGAGATCACACCACTGCACTCCAGCCTGGGCAACAGAGCAAGACTCTGTCTAAAAAAAAAAAAAAAAAAAAAGTGAAGACCTGTTGAACGTTCTTTTTTTTTTAATTTAATTTTTTTTTAAATAATGGAGATGGGGTCTTACTATGTTGCCCAGGCTGGCCTAGAACTCCTGGGCTCAGGCAATCCTCGTGTCTCACCCTCCCAAAGTGCTAGGATTACAGGCATGAGCAACCGTCCCTGGCCTGCATATTCTTCAGGCCTCTGAGAGTATGCTCATCTTCCCCCAGCTCTACTCTCCTAATCACCAGTGGAAAAGAGGGGTGGCGAAGAGAACAACACTGGCACCAAGCTACAGCCTAATAGACAGTCTGTTTTTGTTCCTGGCTGGACTGCCGTGCTTGGACTATGTATTATTTTTAAAAGGCCTTCTCTAGTTTCCTGTTGCTTATAGTACAGGGACTAGCCTTGTTGGCCTCTCATTCAAAGCTTCACGCCATTTACTCTTTCCACAGTTGTAAACCATATCCTCTTAAACATCCCCTGCACATAAACACAGCAGTATACACACGCACACATACACATACGCACACACATACACATTCTTTTCACTGTGACCACAAGGTCTTTGCCCCCAAAGTCTTCCCACATCTCTAGGCCTTTCTCCAAGTCTTTCGCTTGTCCGTTAGCTCTCAAATCCACCTTCTGAAACCCTAATTTACGCTGTTCTCTGGGCTGTCAAAACCCTTTATAATATGGCTTGGCACAGTCTGCGTGGCACTCAAGAGAGCTGTGTAAGCTCCTGCCTCCCTCCTCCCTCCCCAGTGCCGATGCACACAGGAGACTGAGTTCTCTGAGTGCAAAATAACTCTGTGACAGTCACATGGCAGGGGCTCAGGGACCTCCGGAGAATCAAATTAAACAAGACTTTGCTGTTTCAAAATGATACCAGGCTAGCAGTTCCCATTGTAGTTTCTCTACATTTCCTGTATGAGGACTCTGAAAGAGATGAAAATTCACACCTTCAAAAACAAAGAACTGGCATGCGGCCCAGGACTTAGACAAATCAAATGCGTTTCAGCTGTGGTTCCGAGAAGGTAGGTGACCTGTTACTTGACCAAGGTGCCCACCTGAGCAAAGGTTCAGAAAGCTGCTCCCAGCAATTAATTCTCTTGCTAGAAATTTATTCTAAGAAATAACCAAGTATGCTGATAAAGATTTAACCATGGCCGGGCTCGGTGGCTCATGCCTGTAACCCCAGCATTTTGAGAGGCCGAGGCAGGGGGATCACTTGAGGTCAGGAGTTCGAGACTACCCTGATCAACATGGTGAAACCCCGTCTCTACTAAAAATACAAAAATTAGCTGGGCATGGTGGCAGGCGCTTGTAATCCCAGCTGCTCAGGGGGCTGAGGTATGAGAATCGCTTGAACCTGGGAGGCGGAGGTTATAGTGAGCCAAGATTGCACCACTGCACTCCAGCCTGGGTGACAGACTGAGACTCTGTCTTGAAAAAAAAAAAAGTATATATATATATATATATATATATATATATATATATATATGCAAAAAACAGAGAGGCAACAGAGATGTAGATAAGAGCCTAAGTTAATCAGAGAATTTACATTGGATTTCATCTACCAGGTACTTGCTGAGTGTTCCTGGAGAAAGTTCCTTAATTTTTCCCTGCTGTAAAATGTGCTTTAAAACAGTGGCTAAGGGCCAGGCATGGTGGCTCATGCCTGTGATCCCAGCACTTTGGGAGGCCAAGGCTGGAGGATAGCTTGAGCCCAGGAGTTTGAGACCAGCCTGGGCAACATAGCAAGACCCTGTCTATATTAAAACACATACATACACACACACACACACACAACAAAACAAAACAAAACAAAAAACAGTGACTAAGGCAATACAATGGAGAAAAAAATAGTCTTTTCAACAAATAGTGCTACAACAACTGGAAATTTACATGCCCCCCCAAAACGAATCTAGACACAGACCTTCACAAAATTAACTTAAAATGGATCACAGACCTAAATGTAAAACACTAAACTATAACACTCCCGGAAGATAACTTAGGAGAAAATCTAGGTGACCCTGGGCATGGCAATGACTTTTTAGATATACTCAGGGTATGGTCCTGGAAAGAAAAAAATTGATAAGCTGGACTTCATTGAAATTTAAAGCTTCTACTCGTGAAAGACAAGGTCAAGAGAATAAAAAGATAATCAACAGAAAATATTTGCAAGAGTCACATCCGATAAAGGACTGCTATCCACAATAAATAAAGAACTCCTAAAACTCAACAGTGAGAAAAGAAACTACCCAATTTAAAAATGGGCAAAAAGTCATGAACAGACACCTCACCAAAGATGATATAAAGATGGCAAATAAGCATACAAAAAGATGTTCAATATGATATGCACTAGAGATTATAAATAAAAATAACACCTATTAGAAGGGCCAAAATTCAAAACACTGGCAACACCAAATGCTGGCAAGGATGAGGAACAACAGGAACTCACGTTCATTGCTGGTGGGAATGCAAAATGGAACAGCCACTTTGGAAGACAGTTTGGCAGTTTCTTTTTTTCTTTTTTTTTGAGATGGAGTTTCGCTCCTGTTGCCCAGGCTGGAGTGCAATGGTATGATCTAGACTCCCTGCAACCTCTGCCTCCTGGGTTCAAGCAATTCTCCTGTCTCAGCCTCCCGAGTAGCTGGGATTACAGGCACCCACCACTATACCTGGCTAATTTTTTGTATTTTTAGTAGAGACAGGGTTTCATCATGTTGGCCAGACTGGTCTCGAACTCCTGACCTCAAGTGATCTGCCCGCCTCTGCCTCCCAAAGTGCTGGCATTACAGGCGTGAACAACCATGTCAGCCATGGCAGTTTCTTACAAAACTAAATGTACTCTTACCATATGTATTAGTCAGCTCACGCCCCCATAACAAAATACTGTTTCTGGCTTAAACAACAAAAATTCATTAATTTGTTTTTGTATCTTTTTTTGCTTGCTTGTTTATTTGACAGAAATGTCAAGAAATTATTTTTTTCACAGTTATAAAGGCTAGAGGTTTAAGATCAAGAATCTGGGCAATATGGTTTCTGCGGGGTCTCCTCCTGGCTCCGGATGGCCACCTTCTAGCTGTGCCCTCACATGGTCTCTCCTGGGGCCTGGGTATGGGGAGGGAGACGATTGGGAGGGAGAGAGAGAAAGCACTCTCCAGTGTGTCATAAGAACACTAATCCTACCAGGTCAGGGCCCCACCATCAGAACTTCCTTTAACCTTGATTCATTCCTGTGATACAATAAGAAATATGTTATTTAGCCTCTGCCGTTGGTTCCTGACACAGAGCTCCTAAATCCCTTGGGATTTCCTGGGTGGTAGGAGCATCTTTTGTTCTAATGAGGTGAATCCTGGTGGTCTCCGGGACAGCCTCAGGATGGGGGCTCATCTCCAGAAAGTCCAGGCCATGATTGGAAGCTTGAACTTTCAGTCCCATCCCCCATCCTCTGAGGAGTGGGGAGGGGCTGGCGACTGAGTTCATAAATAATTATGCATAGGTGATGAAGTCTCCACAAAAAAATCTCTAAACTACAGGGTTCAGAGAGCTTCAGAGTTGTTGAGTCAGTCCACGTGGTGGGAGGGTGGCATACTCCAGCTCCATGGGGACAGAAGCTCCTGCACTCAGGACCCTCAGCACCTCGCTCTACGTACCTCTTCATTGGGCTGTTCCTCTGAATCTGCTGTGGCCTGACTGCGTTTCCCCAAAATTCATATGTTGAAATTCTAACACCCAAGATGATGGTATTAGGAGGTAGGGCCTTTGGGAGGTGATGAGGTCATCAAGGTGGAGCCCTCAGGAAAGGGATTAGTGTCTTTATTAAAGAGAGCCTGGCCAGGCACAGTGGCTCACGCCTGGAATCCCAGCACTTTGAGAGGCCGAGGCGGGTGGATCACTTGAGGTCAGGAGTTCAAGACCAGCATGGCCAACATGGCGAAACCCCATCTCTACAAAAAATACACAAATTAGCTGGGTGTGGTGGCAGGCGCCTGTAATCCCAGATACTCCGGAGGCTGAGGCAGGAGAATCACTTGAACCTGGGAGGCAGAGGTTGCAGTGAGCTGAGATCGTGGCCCACTGCATTCCAGCCTGGGCAACAGAGCAAGACTGTGTCTCAAAAAAAAAAAAAAAAAATAAAAAGAGAGAGAGAGACCCTGGAGAGCTCTTTTGTCCCTGTGTCACCATGTAAGGACACAGTAAAAGAAGGACCATCTATAAGGAAGCGGATCCTCACTAGACACTGACTCCGCTGGCACCCTTATCTTGGACTTCCCAGCCTCCTGGACTGTAAGAAATCAATTTTTTTTTGTTTATTAGCCACCCATTTTATGCAGAGCAGCCCAAACAGACTGTCAGTATCTTTTTTTTATACAGAGAGAGACAGGGTCTCACTATGTTGCCCAGGCTGGTCTCGAACTCCTGGGCTCAAGCAATCCTCCCACCTTGGCCTCCCAAAGTGCTGGGATTATAGGCATGAACCACCACTCCCAGTCTGTCAGTATCCTCTTTTATGTCCTTTATAGTAAACTGGCCAATGTGAAGCAAAGTGTTTCCCTGAGTTCTATCAGCCATTCTAGCAAACTATCGAACCTGCGGGATAGCGTGTGGGAACCTTCAACTTTGTAGCCACGTTAGGCAGAAGTATGGGACCCTGGTGTCTTTGTCCATTTGTGTTGCTATAAACGAATACCTGAGGCTGGTGATTTATAAAGAAAAGAGACTCATTTTTCCCTTGGTTCTGCAGGCTGTACAAGAAGCCCGGTTCTAGAAACCGCTCAGCTTCTGGTGAGGGCCTCATGGTGTTTCCACTCATGGTGGAAGGTGATGGGGAGCCTGAGTGTGCAGATCAGATGGTAAGAGAGAAAGCAAGCCGGGGGTGGCATGAGGGGGTTGGGGGGCAGATATGCCAGACTCTTTAACAATCAGGTCTTGCAGGAACTAGGGCAAGAGCTCACTCATGACCTCAAGGATGGTACCAAGCCATTCATGAGGGATCCTCCCCAATCACCCAAACACCTCCCACTAGGCCCCATTTTCAATGTTGGAGATCAAATTTCAACATGAGATTTGGAGGGGACAAATATCCAAACTCTATCACCTGCGGACCCATTATTTGCGACTAGCATCTGAAGTAGGGGTGGTCTTGCGGGACTGAGCCCTTTCACCTGTGGGTCTGATCCTGACTGGGTAGTTAGTGTGAGAACTGAATTGAGTCATCTGACATTCAGTTGGAATCTGGAGAATTGGTTCTTGGTGTGGAAGGAACCCACACACTTGGTGTCAGAAGTGCTGCAAGTAGAGAAACCATTTTCTTCTACTTCTTAGACGCCCATCTCCAGAAACAGCCATACTGAGGTTATGGCTTCAACATATGAGTTTTGGGGGGACACAAGCATTCAGTCCAAATATCATACGATCCAGCAATTGTGCTTCTTGGTATTTACCCAAAAGAATTAAAAACATATGTCCATACGAAAATCTACATATGGACGTTTTATTCGTAAATGGCAAAACTTCAAAGCAACCAAGATGTCCTTCAAGTAGATGAATGGATAAATAAACTGTGGTATATCCAGACAATGGAATCTTGTTGCACTAAAATAAAATGAGCTATCAAGCCATGAAAGGATGTAAAGAAATCTTAAATGCAATTACTAAGTGAGGGAAGCCAGTCTGAAAAGGCTACATACTGTACGAGTCAACCATATGATATTCTGCAGAAGGTAAAACCGTGGAGATAGTGAAAGCTGAGTGGCTGCCGGTGCTCAGTGGGGGAGGAGGGATGAAGAGGGGGAGCACAGTGGATTTTTTGGGCAGTGAAACGATTCTGTACAATCCTATAATGGTGGCTGTGTGTCATTATATATTTGTCAAAACTCACAGAATGTACAACACCAGGCCGGGTGCAGCAGCTCACGTCTGTAATCCCAGCACTTTGGGAGGCCAGGGCGGGCGGATCACAAGGTCAGGAGTTCTAGATCAGCCTGGCCAATATGGTGAAACCCCATCTCTACTAAAAATACTTAAATTAGCCAGGCATGGTGGCGGGTGCCTGTAGTCCCAACTACTCAGGAGGCTGAAGCAGGAGAATTGCTTGAACCCTGGAGGTGGAGGTTGCAGTGAGCCAAGATCATGCCACTGCACTCCAGCCTGGGCAACAGAGTGAGACTCTGTCTCAAAAAAAAAAAAAAAAAAAAGTACAACGCCAAGAGTGAATGTTAATGTAAACTATGAACTTTGGGTGATAATGATCAGTGGAGGCTCATTGAGCAAATGTACCATTGTGGTGGAGGATGTTGACAGCAGGTAAGGTTGTGCCTGTGGTGGGGGGCAGGTGGCACGTGGGAACTCTGTACTCTCCACTCAATTTTACTGTGAACCTAAAACTGCTCTAAAAAGTAAAGTGTATTTTTAAAGTGTCTATCTCCTTGGGTTTCCATGAGAGTTAAGTGATTTTATTCGCCCAGGCTGGAGTGCGGTGGCACGGTCTTGGCTCACTGCAACCTCCGCCTCCCGGGTTCAAGCGATTCTCCTGCCTCAGCCTCCCGAGTAGCTGGGATTATAGGTGCCCGCCACCCTGCCCAGCTAATTTTTTGTATCTTTAGTAGAGACGGGGTTTCACCATGTTAGCCAGGCTGGTCTTGAACTCCTGACCTCAGGTGATCTGCCTGCCGCGGCCTCCCAAAGTGCTGGGATTACAGGTGTGAGCCACTGCACCTGGCCTAAGTGATTTTATTTCTGTAGAATTGTTGGAAGAACACTCGGCACAGAGTGAGCATTCGATACATTTTAGCTAAAATTCAGTAAAATCAACACATATGCATAAACCAGAAGAGATTTTTTAAAATGCAAATGACAGCAGATTCTCCATCTGGCTGGAAGAGGCCAGGTATTTCCTATCCCAAACACAGAGAACCTGGCTCTGAGTGGAAAAAACACAAATTGTGATTTCCTTTGCTCTCACACCACAACAATCAACACGGAAGACTTCTGTGACCAAATGTGTGGGGGTTTCAAGCAACCAATTCTGCAGCTGATACCAGCTGGGTGTCCTCCAGTTCAGTTCTGACACTGTCTTTGGAGATCTCATCAGATTTCAGATTGGGGGTTAGTCTCCAAGGCTGCCCCCACTTCAGACAGTAGTCACAAGTCCAGGCCTCTGGAATTTCTGAGCAACTGGCTTCAAGTTGGGCAGAACCCTCTCTTTGGGTTTGATTAATATGCTGGAGTGGCTCACAGAACTCAGGGAAACCCTTATGTACATTTACCAGTTTACTGTATAGAACATTACAAAGGATACAGATGAAAAGATGCATGAGGCCGGGCGTGGTAGCTCACGCCTGTAATCCCAGCATTTTGAGAGGCCAAGGCGGGTGGATTACCTGAGGTCGGGAGTTCAAGACCAGCCTGGCCAACATGGTGAAACCCCGTCTCTACTAAAAACACAAAAATTAGCTGGGTGTGGTAGCGGGCACCTGTAATCCCAGCTACTCAGGAGGCTGAGGCAGGAGAATCGCTTGAACCCGGAAGGTGGAGGTTGCAGTGAGCTGAGATCACACCATTGCACCCCAGCCCGGGCAACGAGAGTAAAACTCTGTCTCAAAAAAAAAAAAAAAATGCCTGGGGTGAGGCCGGGTGGGGGCATGGAGATTCCATGCTGTCTCTGAGGGCCACCGTCCAACAGCCTCCATGTGTTCAGCTATCCGGAAACTCTCTGAGCCCTGTTTTCTTGGCCCTTAATGGAGGCTTCACTGGATGGGCATGACTGACAACTCTGTAGAAATGTGACTGGGTGAAAAGGGTATGACCTGATAGTCATAAGCTGAGTGGGGAAACCCCGCAAGGCCTGTGTGTTCAGATCCCTCGTGGCCTCCGTGCAGCACTCCTTCCCGCAAGGTACGGGGCAGGACCTCTTCTGAAACCAGGGTCTTGTGACCTACAGTCAAACAAGAGAGGCCAGAGAATTTCTTTATGACCAGCTCCGAGACAGAAATGTGGGGAAAGATTTCCACCTTGGGAAGAGAAAGGAAGGCAGGAGAAAGTCAGAGAGTGAGACCAGGCCTGGTGGCTCACACCTGCAATCCCAGCACTTTGGGAGGCCGAGACAATAGGACCACTTGAGACGAGGGGTTCGAGACCAGCCTGGGCAACTCAACAAAACTGCCTCTCTGCAGAAAATACAAAAAAATATTAGCCAGGCGTGGTGGCACACACCTGTAGTCCCAGCTACTCAGGAGGCTACCGCTGAGCCTGGGGAGGGCAAGGGGGCAGTGAGCCATGATTATGCCACTGCACTCCAGCCTGGAGAACAGAGTGAGACCCTGTCTCAAAAAAAAAAAAAAAAAAAAAGTCAGAGAGATTTTGTTTTCTGAGGCCTGCTTCTGAGGCCTAAAATGCCCCTATGTTACAGCAAAATACTGCAACAAGGGTTATGGGAGTTACGAACCAAGAACCATAGATGAAAACCTCTCTTTCTCTTTCTCCCTCTCAAATAATATCACAAATACTTAGGAACCGGTAAGCAAGGGATTCGATTCCAGATTTAAACCTGGAAATGAGTGACATTGCTTAAGGATAACGTGCAGAGTGAGAAGAGAATTAGGCCCAGGACTGGGTCTTATGATCCCCCAAATTTAATAGTCAGCTAAAGAAATAGGCAAAAGAAACTGAAAAGTGGTCAGAGAGGAATCAGAGAGTTTGGCATCTCAAAGCCAATAAGAGAGTGTTTCAGGAAGGAGGAAGTGGCTGGCTGCGCTTTGTGTTTTGCTGAGAAGTCAGAGCGAGCAGTGTTCCTCACGCAGCAGAGGTCCCTGGCCAACTTAACAAATCCAGCTCTGGCAGAGTGGGAGTGGAGGAGCCAGTGGAGGGAGCTGGCTGGAGGTGGCTGAGAAATGACTGAAAGTCAGGAATGAAGACAAGCAGTGTGAACAACTCATTCAAGACATTTGGAAAGGGAGCAAAAGATACACGAGCAACCAGAGGGGAACTTGGGAGCAACAAAGACATCAGTTTGTTTTGTGTTACGATGGGGATGGCTGGAATGTGTGTAGTTTAAACATCGATGAGAAAGGATGCTCCCTCCGTCAACACGAGGTGCAGATGTGGCACAGGAGGGTGAGGCAATTCTCACAGGAGATTTCTATTTTTTACTTTTGTAGGGATAGGGTCTTGCTATGTTGACCTGGCTGGTCTCAAACTCCTGGCCTCAAGTGATCCTCCTATCTTGGCCTCCCAAAGTGCTGGGATTGCAGGCATGAGCCACCCTGGCCAGACACCAACAGACTTCTATTTTCTTTCTTTCTTTTTTTTTTGAGACGGAGTCTCACTCTGTTGCCCAAGCTGGAGTGCACCGCTGCGATCTCGGCTCATTGCAACCTCTGCCTCCCAAGTTCAAGCAATTCTCTAGCCTCAGCCTTCCGAGTAGCTGGGATTGCAGGTGCCTGCCACCATGCCCAGCTAATTTTTTATTTTTAGGAGAGACGGGGTTTCACCATGTTGGCCAGGCTGGTCTTGAACTCCTGACGTCAGGTGATCCACCTGCCTTGGCTTCCCAAAGTGCTGGGATTACAGGCATGAGTTACCGCACCCAGTCTGAAACTTCTATTTTCTTTATGAAGTTGGGAATCAGATCATTTGCTAAGAGAGAGGAGAATCGGGTGCAGATTTGGAGATCTGAGCAGAATGGAGAAGGTTTGAAACTGTCCTTATGGAGAGGACAGCCATAGACTAAAACATAGAGAGGGATTTCTGGGTCTTTCTACATGCCACATTCCTTCTGCGAGTTCTTCCTTGCCTCTAATTTCACAGCTAGGATACTGAGGATCAGAGAGGGGAAGTGATTTGTTCAAAGTCACACAGCAAGTGAGTGTTGAAGCTTTGACTAGAAGTCAGCAGTTGAGGCCTTTGGGTGAGGACACCTCCACCCCAGGGTCAGCGGGTACTTTTGCAGGTGTCTTTTCTTCACTACATGCAAGATATCAGGTGTTTTTCAAAGCATGATCTCCTGGGTCCTATTAAATGATCTATCACCCCCTCACACAAAGCCTTACACATAGATTGACTCAAGCAATGTTGTTCCAGTGAATGAATGATTAGAAATCAGGTTGTCCTTCTGCCTCAGTCACTACCCTTCTTCCCATCTCACCTCGATTTCAGAATAAGCCAGGGGGAGGACAGAAATGCCGAATCCCCTTGGCATTTAAGGTAACAGACTTCAATTTCTGCAATATCTCCTTTCCTAAATCGGGACATGGATAACATAGTCATTTATATACACCACACCTTGTTCTGAAAAGGCTTTAGTACCTCTAGGGTATATCAATTGCTAAAAATAATAATAATAATGCATTTCTCTTTATTGTGGGTGTCCTAATACTCCACAGAACTGGAATTGGCTATTACAGACTCCACTAATTAATTCATGGTATATCCTCAGGGGCTTGGGAGCTCATTATGTAAATAAATGCAAAATAGATGGCAAATTAGAATTTCTACCCCACAAACTTGTCACATTACAAAGATAAAATCAGAAAAGAGTAATCACTATTTATCCACTCAACAGGCCAGTTGAGCTAATAAGTTTTTTTTGCAGTTACATAGACATAAACCTCATGTGAATGCCAATTAGAAGACTCAAACCTTGCTATGGCAGGACGAAGGCCCTTGACCATGGGATCTGCAATGACCAGAGATGCAGAGCGTAACAGACACAATAATACACATGTGGCAGTTGGGAGTCCTTCATCCTCGGCTTGGTTCCATCACTGTCTTTCATTCTTTTTTTTTTTTTTTTGAGACAGTCTCACTCTGTCACCCAGGCTGGAGTGCAGTGGCACAATCTTGACTGACTGCAACCTCCACCTCCCAGGTTCAAGGATTCTCCTGCCTCAGCCTCCCAATTAGCTGGGACTACAGGTGTGTGCCACCACACCAGGCTAATTTTTGTATCTCTCTTTTTTGCTGTTGTTGTTGTTGAGACGGAGTTTCAGTCTTGTCACCCAGGCTGGAGTGCAATGGCATGATCTCGACTCACCGCAGCCTCCGCCTCCCAGGTTCAAGCGATTCTCCTGCTTCAGCCTCCCGAGTAGCTGGGATTACAGGCATGCACCAGCACGCCTGGCTAATTTTGTATTTTTAGTAGAGACAAGGTTTCTCTACGTTGGTCAGGCTAGTCTCGAACTCCTGACCTCAGGTGATCCGCCCGCCTCGGCCTCCCAAAGTGCGGGGATTACAGGTGTGAGCTACCGCGCCCGGCCAATTTTTGTATCTCTAGTAGAGACAGGGTTTCACCATACTAGCCAGGCTGGTCTCGGAATCCTGACCTTAAGTGATCTGCCTGCCACAGCCTCCCAGAGTGCTGGGATTACAGGCGTGAGCCACCACACCCGACCCCGTCACTGTCTTTCTAAGCCACTTCTCTTCTTGATCTGCTTCTTGATGGACTAAACAAGTGCTCTCGCAGCCTTGACTCTGAGCTTTTGGAATCTAAACTATTTCTGGCTGTGGCCCAGGCCTTACACAGCTTTGGTGGCTCCCCAGGCAAAGCAACCACCTGCTTGTCCCGAAGGCAGTCAGCATATATTTGTGAGCAGGAAGAGCATGGTCATAACTGGTCAAATTACTCCCCTGTGACTGGCAAGGGCTTTGGATTTTGTCCTCACCGCTTCCTCCAGTGTTTGAAATTCTGACTGCTGCACTCTTTGCTGGGTAAACTAATGAGTGTATTTGGCTGGGTGGCATTCACTTTCTCCATCACTTTCTACAAGCAGAGCAGAACCTTACTCGGAAAAGCATTTCTAAGAAGCTTCATATCTAAGCCTGTCTATCGGCTGGGCTGGGGGATCGATCATATATGTGAAGATAAGGCAAAGACCACGAAGTAGCCCATGTGGGGGAAAAGAAAGTCTGCCTTCTGACTTGGGCTTCTATATTTCTTCTTCCATTTCCTGAGCCCTTTTTATGAGCATGGCACTGTGCCAGGGCTGGCAGCCAGTCCTGGCCTGGGTAAATGACAGCATGAGGAGGCTGGTAGGAAGGTAGGTGTGCTGTATCCTTGGTGGAAGGGCGATTAACCTCTGGGCTAAGCCTCAGGGTCAGGCCACCAGGCCCCAGGAAGGGAGCTGTGCCTCCAGAGCAGGCATGCATGTTCTGTCTGGAACACACGAGTATGCAAGTTGCCAGAAAGGTCCCTGGACTCTGTTGTTGTAGGTAGGTTCTTTGCTAGGCAATGGGAATTTAGAGATGGATAAAGCATGATCTCAGCCCTCAAGGAGCTCACAGTGGCTGCTCATTCATAGGCATTCCCTCTAAGCATGAGAAGTCCCAGTGGAGTGGCTAAAATCAAGTTTCTGGACATGTGGAAGTAAGGACCAAATTCTGAATGCTCTCTGGGCCAGAAAAATGCTGTTCTACCAGGAGGGCCTGAAAAAGGCAGCTGGACTTTACCCCTTCCCAGTGCAAACAGTGGACTCTATTGCAGTAACCACTATCCTCTCTAACTAGCACAGGTTTATTAGAATGTTAGAAAATCATTATTTCCTTTTATACTTAACTTGCTGTTGACAGTGACTCTGCACATATTCTCTGGCTGCAGCCCTGAACCAAGAGAGGAAACAGTAGCCTTCAGGCACCTCTCCAGGCTTTAAAATTATAAAATGTATCATATTTAGAGAAAAGTATGTGTACAATCTAAAGATTAAATAACGAGGCCGGGTGCAGTGGCTCACACCTGTCATCTCAGCACTTTGGGAGGCTGAGGTGGAAAGATGGCTTAAAATCAGGAGTTTGAGACCAGCCTGGGCACCTTAATGAGACCACCAGCTCTACACACACACACACACACACACACACACACACACAACAACAACAACAATAACAACAACAACAAAACCAAACTAACAAACAAAACCATAAAATAAAACTAGCAGAGTGCAGTGGCACACACCTGTAGTCCCAGCTACTCAGGAGGCTAAGGCGGGAAGAGCTCAAGAGGCAGCAGTGAGTTGTGATCACGCCACTGCACTCCAGCCTGGGCAACAGAACAAGACCCTCTTTCAAAATAATAAAATAATAGGCCAGGCACAGTGGCTCACGCCTGTAATCCCAGGATTTTGGGAGGCCAAGGCAGGCAGATTACCTGAGGTCAGGAGTTTGAGACCAGCCTGGCCAACATGGTGAAACCCCATCTCTACTAAAAATACAAAAATCAGCCGGGTGTGGTGGCTCACTCCTGTAATCCCAGCTACTCGGGAGGCTGAGGTAGGAGAATTGCTTGAGCCTGGGAGATGGAGGTTGCAGTGAGCCGAGATCGTGCCACTGCACTCCAGCCTGGCCAACAGAGCGAGACTCTGTCTCAAAATAATAATAATAATAATGACAAACACCTATCACCCACTAGTACCTTGAGGCTCAGCTGTGTGCCTCCCTGCAATCTCTGCTTCCCTGGGCACCACATCCTCCCCAGGTACTACCTTTAATGTCAGTCGTTACTGTTTGCTTTATAGTTTTGCCCTCTATATGACATATCCCTAAACAATCTACTGGTTGGATTTGAATAACTGAGTGGCTAGCACAAAGCTAGCTGTGTAAGGAAAGAGCACTGTTGCCAGTATTACATGAGATTTCCTGGGAAAATAAGCTGAATAGAGTTGCTGGGTCATGGAAAACAAGCTGAATAGAGTTGCTGGGTTATAATGTAATTTCAACCTTCCTGAGTCTTTAAAAGCCTCTTCTGGAGAAGTCAGAGGACAAAATCATGATCAAAGAGCAAGGCATGGCGGCATGTGCCTGTAGTCCTAGCTACTCAGGAGGCTGAAATGGGAGGATCACTTGAACCCAGGAGTTCTGGTCCAGTCTGGGCAACATAGTGAGACCCCATTTCAAAACAAAAACAAGGCTGGGCACAGTGGCTCACGCCTGTAAGCCTTTGAGAGGCCGAGGCAGATGGATCACCTGAGGTCAGGAGTTTGAGACCAGCCTGGCTAACATGGTGAAACCCCGTTTCTACTAAAAATACAAAAAATTAGCCAGCTGTGGTGGCGTGTGTCTGTAATCCCAGCTACTCGGGAGGCTGAGGCAAGAGAATTGCTTGAACCCAGGAGGCGGAGGTTGGGGTGAGCAGAGATTGGCCATTGCACTCCAGCTTGAGCAACAAGAGCGGAACTCCGTCTCAAAAACGAAACAAAACAAGAAAACAAACCAGAACAAAACATGCATCTATCTTCCTAATTGGAGGGGAGAAAGCCAAAAAAAAAGAAAAAAACAATCGTACACAGGCGCAGATCTAGGATTTGTGGGGTCTGAAGATTATATAATTTGGAGGACCCTTTTGTAAGATTATAAGTTCAAAATTACAAATACTAAATTAGGTACAGGGCCTTGGGGAGGGCATATATGAATAAAGGGCTTCCGTTTCATTAGTTTCAGGTGGATAAGTCTCTAACCATGAGGGTTCACCTGTGTCTGGGCATCTGGCAGATCTGCAGGATGGGCCAGGCACTGAAGACCCTGTAGAAATAGGGTCAGAGGGGGAAGGATGCTTTGTATTTTCTGCTTTTAAGCTCATTAGCCTACATTCAGCTCTCAAGAGTAGGCCTAAAGCACAACACTTCAGAAACGGGCTGTTTTATGAAATGAATACGCTCAGCCGATTCTACCAGCAGAGTGTAGAGAGGTGAGTGGGAATTTCCATAATATGTAATGAAACTGTGACAAATATGGATAAATCGTCCTCAAGTTTGAACAAGGTATGATATCAGTGAGGATTTTTGGGTGATGACAGTTCTCAACCTGTTTCTTGAGTCACAGTTTTCCACATGGAAATGGTTGTTCTCCACATGTTGTACACAGCGATTATCATGGCATTTCCCCTTACTATCCTCCCAGGGAATCTCCTTGCTTCTCTCCTATTTTAGATTCTCCTCCTGGATTTACTTGGTCTTTGCGTGGAGTATCTTCTCCGGTAGCTTATAGAGAAGGAGTGCATGATAGATAAAAGTTTTTGAAATCTTACATACTTGAACATATTTTTTTCTGCTCTCATACTCAATTGATAGTATGGCTGGGTATAGAATTCCAGATTGCAAGTTACATTTCTCAGAATTTTAAAGGCACTGCTTCATTGTGCTTTGGCTTCTAGTGTTGCTGATGCGAAGTCCAAATCCATTTTGCTTCCTAAACTTTGTATATAGCCAATTTTTTCATCTCTAGAGGCAATGAAATCTTCTCTTCCTCCCTAAAATGATGCTGGCTACTTATTGGCTCTTAAATATCACAGTTCATTCTATTGTTGAATTATGACATTGATTGCTTTGTCCCTTCTTTTCTCTTTTTTCTTTCTGGAAACACCGGTATTCAGATATAAGATCCCCTGAACTAGTACTCTTAACTTCCTAACCTTTTGTCTACTATTTTATATCCCTTTATCTTTTTGCTATATTTCCTGGGAAATTTCCCTAATGTTGTATTTCAGCTATTATGTATAATTATTTTTTTCTGCTTAAGCAGATCATTTTTCCTTATATCCTTATCATTTTTTCCTTTCTATGGAAGTATTGTATGCACATTGTTTAAAAATTATACAGCACTCATTTCAATAGCACATTTGATAAAACTGGAATGAGACAGGCCAGGAGTGGTGGCTCATGCCTGTAATCCCAGCACTCTGGGAGGCCGAGGAGGGCAGATCACAAAGTCAGGAGATTGAGACCATCCTGGCTAACATGGTGAAACCCTGTCTCTACTAAAAATAAAAAAAAATTAAAAAAAAAATTATCCCGGCGTGGTGGCGGGCACCTGTAGTCCCAGCTAATTGGGAGGCTGAGGCAGGAGAATGGTGTGAACCCAGGAGGTGGAGCTTGCAGTGAGCCAAGATCATGCCACTGCACTCCAGCCTGGGCAACTAAGCGAGACTCCGTCTCAAAAAAAAAAAAAAAAAAAAAAACTGGAATGAGACAGAAAATTAGCATGGTCCCTGCGCAAGGATGACATGCAAATTTGCAAGGGTTCCATATTTTTAAAAAATCATTACAGAATTCTTTACATAGAAAATTCCATCTAGTAGATCATTGAACAAAAGAGAGACCAGAAATAGATCTACACATACACATGTATGACCTAAACCTGTGGATATGAACCACATTTTATATTTGCTTTTGACAAAGATTTTATATAGCAAGAAATGTGGCTCCTATAGAGAAGCCTGGCCTTTTCCCCATCTCCTGGGAGGTAATCTCTAAACTCTTGGAATTTCCTGAGTGTTAAGGGTGTCTTTGTTATTTGATGGGCCCTTGGAACTACACCTGATATTTTATGCTATAACATGTTGGGGGTGGCCATGGCAGGAAGACCAACTATCTGATAAGACGGTTGGAGCTGGGGGACACATGGTATCAGCTCAACCTCTAGGGAACAGGGGGCGGGAGATTGAGTACAACCACATGGGCTCAACCAATCGTGTTTGTAAGAAAACCTCAATAAAATCTCTGGGCACCAGAGCTCAGGTAAGTTTCCCTGGTTGGGAATACTCTGAACAGACTATCACACATCAGTGCTGGTAGGAAAACACTTTCCTGAAGATAGTGGCAGTTTCATGTTTGCAACCCTCCCAGACTTCACCCTACGTGTCTCTTCCTTTGTCTGGTTCTAATTTATATCCCATTGCTATAATAAAGCTGCAGTGGTACACACAGCACTTTCCTGAGTTCTGTGAGTCATTCTAGCAAAGTACCAAATCTGAGAGTGGTTTTAGGAAGCCGCAAACTCGCAGTTGGTGTCTGAAGTCAGGGCAATCTTATAGGGATTGTTCCGTCTGACTGTGTGGTTTGGGTAACTCCTTACAGATACCAAGGCAATTCACTGAGAAAATGGACTCTTTTGCACATGTCATACTGTAATTATTGATATCCATATGTAAAGAAATGAGCCTCAACCCTTACCTCATAGTATCTGCAAAAACTAACTTGAAATGAAAAGTAGACCGGAATGTAAGAACTAGAACTAGAACTTTTCTAGAATAAAATACAGAAGAACGTCTTTGTGACCCTGGGTTGGGCATATATTAATATATTAAATAGACCACAAAAAGGAAAATATGATGACTAGGTCTTCATAAAAATTTTAAAAATTTGCTCTTCAAATAATACTGTTAAGAAAATGAAAAGGCAAGTCTGGGGTAAAATATCGGCAAAATATGTATCTGTCAAAGTATTTGTATCAAGAATATAAAAAGAATTATTTGGCGGGTGTGGTACCTCATGCTTGTAATCCTAGCACTTTGGGAGGCTGAGGCAGGAGGATCACTTGGATAGTCATTCTAGCAAAGTACCAAACCTGAGGGTGGTTTCAGGAAACCCCCAAATTTGCACACTTACAAACTTGTAAAAAAATCCAATTAGAAAACGGGTAAAAGACATGAACAGACATTTCCTGAAGAAGCTATACAGATGGCAAATAAGCACATGAAAAGAGTTCAACATCATTAGCCATTAGGGAAATACAAAATAAAGCCACAGTGAAATATTATTTTGCATTTTGCATGTAGCATAATAATATTTTTTATTTTAGGCTGGGCACGGTGGCTCATGCCTGTAATCCCAGCACTTTCGGAGGCTGAGGTAGGCAGATCACCTGAGGTCAGGAGTTCGAGACCAGCCTGGCCAACATGGTGAAACCCCGTCTGTACTAGAAATACCAAAAAAAAAAAAAAAAGTTAAAAAGATATTTTTTATTTTTGCCTAGCAGAATGGCTAAAATGAAAAATAATGACAACACCAAATGCTGGCAAAGATGTAGAGAAACTGGGCCACAAAAATTGCTGGTAGGAATGTGAAATGATACAACCACTCTGGGAAAAGGTTTAGCAGTTTTTAAAAATAAAACCGTGCGGGCTGGGCGTGATGGCTCACACCTGTAATCCCAGCACTTTGGGAGGCTGAAGCGGGTGGATCACGAGGTCAGGAGATCGAGACCATCCCGGCTAACACAATGAAACCCTGTCTCTACTAAAAGTACAAAAAAATTAGCCAGGCGTGGTGGCGCGCGCCTGTAGTCCCATCTACTCGGGAGGCTGAGGTAGGAGAATTGCCTGAACCCAGGAGGCGGAGGTTGCAGTGAGCCGAGATCTCGCCACTGCACTCCAGCTTGGGTGACAGAGGGAGAATCCGTCTCAATAAATAAATAAATAAATAAATAAATAAATAAATAAAACTGCATGAAACTACCATACAACCCACAGTTGCTCTCCTGGGCATTTATCTCAGAGAAAAGAAAACTTACATTCACACCAATTGTTCATAGCGACTTTATTCATAATAGCCAAAAACCAAGTCATGGTATATGCACAGGACGGAACACTACTCAGCAATAAACAGGAGCAAGCTATTGGTGTGTGTGTGTGTGTGTGTGTGTGTGTGTATATGTAATGAATCTCATATGTAATGAATCCCTAGGGAATTAGGCTGAGTGAAAATAGCCAATCTTTACAAATTGTATATTGTATATTGTATGCTTACATTTATCTATATTACACTCTTGAAATGACAAAATTATGGAGAAGAGACTAATAGTTGCCAGGAGCTGGGGGCGGGGAAAGAGGTGAGTGTGGCTATAAAAGGGCAACACAAGGGGTCCCAGTGATGATGGAACTGCTCTGTGTCTTGACTTCATCAATGTCAACAGCCTGGTTGTGATATGTTACTATACTTTACAAGATGTTACCACTGGGGGAAGCTGGATCAAGGGATCTCTCTTTTTTTCTTTTCTTCCATAAGTAAGGAAACAATCTCTGTATTATTTCTTATAATGTGAATCTATAATTATTTCAAAATAAAAAGTTAAATTAAATAAATCTGTACACAAATGTTTATAGTGGTTTTATTCATACTCATTAAAAACTGGAATCAATCCAAATGCCCAAGAACTGGTAAATGAATATATAAAATGTAGTAAAACCTTACAGTGAAATGCTACTCAGCAATAATAAAGAATGAACCACTGATATGTAAAACACGAATGAATCTCAAAAGCTTCATGCTATGTGAAAGGAGTCAGACTCAAGACTATCTACTATATAATTCCATTTATGTGAAGTGCTAAAAAAAAGTCCAAAATCTTAGTTATAAAAAGCAGATTAGTGGTTGCCAGGAGGCAGAGGGTAGGGGTGTAGAATGACTGAAAAATGTTTCAAGGTAATTTTTTGGGGGTAATGAAAATATCCTATCAATTTCATGATTGTGGTAGTGACTATATGATGGTATATTTGTTAAAACTCATTTATTGTGCACTTAACATTGGTGAATTTTATTGCATTTAAATTGTACCTCAATAAAGTTGACCCCAAAATTGGGCTAATAAATTTAGACTATTTTGCGACTTGCTTTTTCATTTAACTATATGTTGTGGACTTCTGGCTTCCAGACAGAGAGCTTTACCTCCTTTTTAATAGTTCCATAGTCTTTCATTGTATGGATGCAGCACAATCCCACAATTAATTTAATTAATCTTTCCTTGATGAGCATTTCTGCTGTTTCCAATTTTTTATTCTTTTTTAAATTTATTTATTTTTTTTGAGACGGAGTCTCGCTCTGTCACCCAACCTAGAGTGCAGTGACATGATCTTGGCTCACCGCAACCTCTGCCTCACAGGTTCAAGTGATTCTTCTGTCTTAGCCTCCCGAGTGGCTGAGATTACAGGTGTGCGCCACCATGCCCACCTAATTTTTGTATTTTTAGTAGAGACGCGGTTTCACCATGTTGGCCAGGTTGGTTTCAAACTCCTGACCTCAGGTGATCCACCCACCTCAGCCTCTCAAAATTTTTTATTCTTACAAGTAATGTGATGGTTAACCTTTTCATGTATCTTTGTATACCAGAGAAATTGTTTTTATTGAATAGACTTCTAAAAGTGATATTTCTCGGTTTAAGGATATATGTAATTAAAATTTTTGGCCGGGTGTGGTGGCTCACGCCTGTATTCCCAGCACTCTGGGAGGCTGAGGCGGGCAGATCACCTGAGGTCAGATGTTGGAGACCAGCCTGGCCAAGATGGTGAAACCCCATCGCTACTAAAAAAATACAAAAATTAGCTGGGCATGGTGGCATGTGCCTGTAATCCCAGCTATGCAGGAGGCTGAGACAGGAGAATCGCTTGAACCTGGGAGGCAGAGGCTGCAGTGACCAAGATTGCGCCACTGCACTCCAGCCTGGGTGACAAAGCAAGACTCTGTCTCCAATAAATAAATAAATAAATAAATAAATAAATAACATTTTCGTGTGAAGCACCAAAATGCCTGACAAAATAAGGTTGTGTCAACTTGCACTGTGATCAATAGTGAATGAGTCCTGTGGCTATTTCTAAGGCATTCTTTCTAACCTTATTTACTTGTTCCTTTTCCCACAGCCTTTTCATCCAGTTGACGTTTTTCTTTTCACAGCTCTCTGTAGGATTTCTGTAGCTCCAAACCTTGACTGTTGATGCTTTGTTAGGGCCTGTAGAATGACCTCGTTATTTGAGGATCATTCGATCAAAAAGGAGCACATATGATGGTGGAGAGACAGACATGAAAAGCAATTACTATATAGCATGAAAAATGACAAGAGACTTGTATATTACATATACTGATAATAATGATGAAAGAGAAGATGATGTTGTTGCTGATAATAGCTAAAAATTATTTAGCACTTACTATATGCCAGGAAGAAGTCAAAGAACTGTATAGACATTAATTCATTTCATTCCCACAACAACCCTCGGAGGTAGAAATTATTACAATTTTCCCCATTTGGCCGAGCGCAGTGGCTCATGCCTGTAATCCCAGTACTTTGGGAGGCCAAGGCAGGCAGATCACTTGAGGTCAGGAGTTCGAGATCAGCCTGGCCAACATGGTGGAATCCTATCTCTACTAAAAATACAAAAAAATTAGCAGCGTGTGGTGGTGTGCACTTGTAATTCCAGCTGCTCGGGAGGGAGGCAGGAGAATTGCTTGAGCCCGGGGAGGCAGAGGTTGCAGTGAGCCAAAATCGTACCACTGCACTCCAGCCTGGGTGACAGAGCAAGACCGTCTCATAAAACAAACAAACAAACAAAAATTGCACCATTATACAAACCCCTTGGCTGGGCATTGAAAAATGAGTAGGAGTTAATTAGGTGAAGAAAGGGCATGGATTAGGCCACGCGGTGGCTCATGCCTTTAATCCCAGCACTTTGGGAGACCGAGGTGGGTGGATCACTTGAGGCCAGGAGTTGAAGACCAGCCTGGCCAACACGGTGAAACCCCATATCTACTAAAAATACAAAAATTAGCCAGACCTGATTGCAGATACTTGTAATCCCACAGCTACTCAGGTGGCTGAGGCACGAAGATCACTTGAACCCGGGAGGCAGAGGTTGCAGTGAGCTGTGATGGCACCATTGCACTCCATCCTGGGCAATAGAGTAAGACTCTCAAAAGAAAGAGAAGGGCGGGGGTAGGGGTGTGGAGAGAGAGGGAAGGAAGGCGGGGGGAGAGGGAAAGAATGGAAGCAAGGAAGGAAAGAAGGAAGGAAGAAAAGAACAAAAGAAGGAAAGAACAGAAGAAAGAAAGAAAAAGAAAGAAAGAAAGAGAAAGAAAGAGAAAAGAAAGAAGGAAGAAAGGAAGAGAAGGGGAGGGGAGGGGAGGGGAAGGGAGGGAAGGGAAGGAGGAAGGAAGGAAGGGCATGGATTAAATGGAATCCTAGGAAGAATGAAAAAATGAAAAATGTTTAGTGTGTACAGGCTGGGCATAATGGCTCACACCTGTAATCCCAGAACTTTGAGAGGCCGAGGTGGGTGGATCACTTGAGGTCAGGGTTCGAGACCAGCCTGGCCAACATGGTGAAACCCCATCTCTACTAAAAATACAAAAATTAGTCAGGCATGGTGGTACACACCTGTAGTCCCAGCTACTTGGGAGGCTGAGGCAGGAGAATAGCTTGAACCCAGGAGGCAGGGGTTGCAATGAGCCGAAATGGCGTCAGTGCACTTGGCCTCCAAAAAAAAAAAAAAAAGGAAGAAAAAAAACGGAAGAAAAGTGTGTACAAAGGCACACTTTGTATGATAAAACAAAGTGCATTCAGATGTCCTGTGAGTAATTTCAGATGGCTGACATCCAGAGGGAACTAGGGGACAGGAGAAGAAGAAGCTGGAGCAAGCTCATGAGTAAGTGGACGTGAATGTTTCTCATTTCCTCTTGCTAAGTGCTTTCTCACACACTACGCATTTTGCTGGCGCAATCTTACTAATTTGTACTTTCTGATGAAGTCCAGGGGAAGACTTCTCGTTAGGAAGTAATTCCCAGATTGAGATGCAAATGTTGAGAAGAGTCAACCAGACAGAAGAGGAGATGAGTGTTCCGGCAGAGGAAGCTGTGTGAGGTGTCATGGCTGCAATTTTTCTTTCTTTCTTTCTTTCTTTCTTTCTTTCTTTCTTTCTTTCTTTCTTTCTTTCTTTCTTTCTTTCTTTCTTCTTTTCTTTCTTTCTCTTTCTTTCTTTCTCTTTCTTTCTTTTTTTCTTTCTTTCTTCCTTCCTTCCTTCCTTCCTTCTTTCTTTCCTTTCTTTCTTTCTTTTTTTTTTTTTTTGAGACAGGGTCACTGCCCTGTCACCCAAGCTAGAGTGCAGTAGGGCGATCTGGGCTCACTGCAACCCCCACCTCCTGGGTTCAAGCGATTCTCCTGCCTCAGCCTCCCGAGAAGCTGGGATTACAGGCGTGCACCACCACAACTGGCTAATTTTTGTATTTTAGTAGAGATGGGGTTTCACCGTGTTGGTCAGGCTGGTCTGGAACTACTGACCTCAGGTGATCCGCCCGCTTCGGCCTCCCAAAGTGCTGGGATTACAGGTGTGATGAGCCACTGTGCTTGGCCCATGGAATTTCTAAGGAACTGGCTGGTATTGAGGATGGCTAGGTATAAAATGTAAAGGGGGAGGAGACACAAATGAGGCCAAATAGGGTGGCAAAGACCAATCCATGTAGGCCACATTAAGGAGTTCAAACATTATGGTGGTTATAAAACCAATCAATGAAAAAGAAATGACCAAATATCCCCTCTAGGCAGGCCATGCTCCGGGGGCAAAGAAGATACAATGATGCGCAATATGATCCTAGCCTTCCAGAGGGCAAAGAAGATACAATGATGCGCAATATGATCCTAGCCTTCCAGAGGGCAAAGAAGATACAATGATGTGCAATATGAGCCTAGCCTTCGAGAAGCATACAGACTAGCTGGGAAGGTAAAACATGAGCAAACATAAGGAAGGTGATCAATGGTTACTAGCCACATATAACAAGAGATAAATGTGAAATGTTGGAGTTTACAAGAGAGAAAGACAACTGGTTGGGTAAGAGGCAGGGACAGTGGTAGGGAGAAGGGACAGGAGTGGGGCCTTAAAGAATGGGTACACTAGGCCAGGCACAGTGGTTCACGCCTATAATCCCAGCACTTTGGGAGGCCGAGGCAGGTGGATCACCTGAGGTCAGGAGTTTCAGACTGGCCTGACCAACATGGAGAAACTCCATCTCTACTAAAAAAACAAAAGTTAGCCAGGCGTGGTGGTGCATGCCTGTAATCCCAGCTACTCGGGAGGCTGAGGCAGGAGAATTGTTTGAACCTGGGAGGCGGAGGTTGTGGTGAGCTGAGATCGCGCCACTGCACTCCAGCCTGGGTGACAGAGTGAGATTCCGTCTCAAAAAAAAAAAAAAAAAAAGAAAAAGAAAAAGAAAAGAAAGAGTTCTCAGTGAACACTTAGTGTTTCTCATTATTTTGCACCTCTTCTATTGAATGTAGTCATTCTCCTTTGTTAGGTCAGGAACCCATGAGAGCATCTGACTGAAAAATCACAGACCATCACCCTATCCAAAAATGCATATATGGGCCAGGGGTGGTGGCTCATGCCTGTAATCCCAACACTTTGGGAGGCCAAGGCAGGCAGATCACTTGAGGTCAGGAGTTTGAGACCAGCCTGCCAACGTGGTGAAACCCCATCTCTGCCAAAAATATAAAAAATTAGCCGGGTGTGGTGGCACACACCTGTAATCCCATCTACTCAGGAGGCTGACATAGGAGAATCGCTTGAACCTGGGAGGTGGAGGTTGCAGTGAGCTGAGATCATGCCACTGCACTCCAGCCTGGGTAGCAGAGCAAGACTCTGTCTCAAAAAAAAATGTATATAGGTACACATGTATATGTACCATTTTGCAACATCAGGATGCTGAAACTTCATAGGTGGCTGAAACTTGCAGTCTTCAGGTTGAGAATTCCTGTCCCTCTGTGTCCAGCAGACAAGTGCTACCTGAAGGCCATGACGAATTGAGACAAAATTCTAACACTGCTACGTTATTGAGAGAAAGGATGAGAAGGTATGAAACAAATTTTAATGATGAATTTTTGTGGATTTTTGAAATGCATAAATGGGATGATTAATAATAACAAAAAAGCTCTGTTTATATCATCATAAAACACACTATAAATCTACGGGATTCAGTCTCCACTTGTATATCATCTGACACAGAGCTGAAGGTGGAGGAGAAAGGTTAACCCTTCTCATTCCCTTCCCCACCCCACATACAGTTGGCCTTTTCTGGTCAGGTTTCCGAGGCAGTAAGCATTTTTTTGAGCGCCTACAATGTGCCAGACACTGTTCTGGGCACCTGGGTAGAAAGAAAGATCTTGAAGACTCTTGCCCTGTAGGGAAGTTTATAGCTTGGGGAACAGTGGAGGAAGAACAGAAAAAAAATCACACTAATATTTAATTACTTAAAAAAATTGTTTTTTCAAGGCTGGGTGCGGTGGCTCATGCCTGTAATCCCAGCGCTTTGGGAGGCCAAGGCTGGCAGATCACCTGAGGTCAGGAGTTTGAGACCAGCCTGGCCAACGTGGTGAAACCCCGTCTCTACTAAAAATACAAAAATCAGCCGGGCATGGTCGCATGCACCTGTAATTCCAGATACTCGGGAGGCTGAGATAGGAGAATCGCTTGAACCCAGGAGGTGGAGCTTGCAGTGAGCCGAGTTTGCGCCACGTCACTCCAGCCTGGGTGACAGAGCAAGACTCTGTCTCAAAAAAAAAAAAAGTTTTTAAAACAGAGGCAGGGTCTTGCTATGTCGCCCAGACTGGTCGCCAACTCCTGGACTCGAGTGATCCTCCCGCCTTGGCCTCCCAAAGTGCTGGGATTACAGGCCTGAGCCACTGTGCCTGGTTCAAATCACACCAATAAAAGGGGTCAAAGGATGTGTTCAAATAGACTTGTGGAAAAGCTGAGGCAAAAAGAGGAGGTACTAATTTTGCCTGGAGGCAGAACTAGAAAAGAGCCCTGAAAAATGGGGAGGAGGGGCAAGATTCAGGAAGTATTCCAGGCGGGGAAGCTTCTTTTTCCCCTTTTAGCCATAGGAAGATAGAATTCCTGGGTCCCTCTTCCTGCCTCCACTAGTCTTGTCACCTGAGTTCCATACCAGCTATTTCAAAAAGAGAAAAGGCCCAAGGGTGTACAACCTTCCCTCCAGCAATAAGTAAAGGTGGTTACTATGTGCGAGGAGCTCTGCCAAGCATTGCCCAACTGTTACCTTTAATTCATACAACGGAACGGTGGTGTGTACTGTCACCATTTTCCTGAGAAAATTGGGTTTCAGAGCTAGAACTTGTCTCTTGTCACACAGTTATGGAGTGGCTAAGCCAGAACTGAAGCCGAGTCGACCTGACTTCAAAATTCACCTTCTGGCCAGGCATGGCGGCTCACACCTGTAATCCATCCCAGCACTTTGGGTGGCCTAGGCAGGGGAATCACTTGAGTCCAGGAGTTTGAGACTAGACCGGGCAACATGGCGAGACCCTGTCTCTACAAAAAAATGGAAAACTTAGCTGGGCATGGTAGCGCGAACCTGTAGTCCCAGCTATTCAGGAGTTGGGAAGATCTCTTGAGCCTGGGAGGTTGAGGCTGCAGTAAGCTGAGATGGCACCGTTGCACTGCAGCCCAGGTAGTCTGGGCACCACAGCAAGACCCTGTGTCCAAAAAAAAAGAGAGAGAAAGTCTTTATTTTGTTTGTTTAGCTTTTCTGTGGCTTCAGTCTTTAGTTTCCTTTTTGTTTATTTATTTATTTATTTATTTCACTATGGAAAATTTCTAACATAAAAGGAGACAGAATGGTATCATAAACTTCCACGATTCTATCACCTAGGTTCAATAATTAAGAATTCGGCCAGGCGCAGTGGCTCACACCTGTAATCCCTGCACTTTGGGAGGCCAAGGTGGGCAGATCACCTGAGGTCAGGAGTTCGAGACCAGCTTGGCCAACATGGTGAAACCCCGTCTCTACTAAAAACAAAAAATTAGCCAGGTGTGGTAGCACACGCCTGTAGTCCCAGCTACTTGGGAGGGTGAGGCAGGAGAATTGCTTGAGCCCGGGAGGCAGAGGTTGCAGTGAGCCGAGATCGCACCACTGCACCCCAGCCTGGGTGACAGAGCGAGATTCCATCTCAAAAAAAAAAAAAAAAAAAAAAAAGAATTCATGGCTAATCTTATTTTATGACTAATCCCTTCCTGGATTATTCTGAAGCAAATCATATCATGGCATCATTTTCACCCATAGACTTCAGTATGCCTCTTGGATCCCTTTTACTTGATAAGTTCCTCCTGCTTGTAATGTATTTGTTGAAGAAGCTGGGTCATTTATCTCATGGAATTTCTCACCATCTGAGTTTTGGCGACTGCATTCAGCAGTATCATTTAACACGTTCCCTGTCCTTGGCATTTCCTGTAAACTAGTAGTTGGATTTAGAGTAGTGACCAGACAGGTTAGTGATTTTTGGCAAGACTACTTCATGACTGTTTCTCATCGGGAGGCACTCATGTATTTGTCTTTTGACCGTCATTGATGATCAAAGTCCAGGCCTGTTAATTTACTAAAGATGGCAAAATGGTGATATTGTAATCCTTCTAGTCTTTCTCTGTTTAATAGCTGTAATACATCCAAAAAAGGTTTCCCTGATCGTCTATGCAGTTAACATAAGCTATATTTGTCACTGGAAAGGTAATATAAATGCTTCTCTCTCTTTATTTGCCAATTTTCAAAATAACAAATGGATCCCTAGCACCCACCAAAAGTGACCAATAGATTTAATTTTTAAAAAGCATGAATTCATGGTTTTAAACATTTGATGAGCTTCAATTCATCACAGTTATAATTCTTATTGATGCTCAGATTATCTTATTCTTTGGTTAGTGGGGGCCTCTTCAAGTTGACTGAGTCTGTTTTTTTGTTTTTGTTTTTGTTTTTTTTTTAAGGGAGGGGGTTACTATGTTGCCCAGTCTGGACTGGAACTCCTGGGCTCAAGCCATCCTCCAGCCTCATGCTCCTGCCTCATCCTCCTGAGTAGCTAGGACTATAGGCAACTAAGTCTTTGTGATATTTTCTTTTTTTTAAACAGGGTATCGTTCTGTCACACAGGCTGGAATGCAGTGGTGCAATCATGGCTCAAGGGACCCTCAAACTCCTGGTATCAAGCGATCCTCCTGCCTCAGGCTGCAGAGTAGCTGAGACCATAGGTGCATGTTACCATGCCTGGTTAATTTTTCAATTTTTTGTAGAAATGGGGGTCTCACTATATTTCAGACTGGTTTCAGACTCCTGGGCTCAAGCAATCTGCCCTCCTTAGCCTCCCAAAGTGCTGGGATTATAGGCATGAGCCACTGCAATAATTTTGGTGATTGCAACCAGCAGTATGATTTAACATGTTCTCTGTCCTTGACATTTCCTGTAAACTAGAAGTTGGATTTAG
Source organism: Homo sapiens (assembly GCF_000001405.40). Taxonomy (NCBI): domain Eukaryota; kingdom Metazoa; phylum Chordata; class Mammalia; order Primates; family Hominidae; genus Homo; species Homo sapiens. The sequence goes on along the minus strand of NC_000003.12, from coordinate 194,521,733 downwards.
AGTAGTTGATCAGATTTAGGTTAGGGATTTTGGCAAGACTACTTCATGACTAATGTTTTTCATCAGGAGGCACATAATATCTGGTATTTGCCTTGTGAAATCACCCTATTGTTCTTGATAAATGCTTGATTATCAGGTGTATAATATGATGTTCCAGGCTCATCTTGTACATTTCTTTCCCAGGAGCCCAGATCTGGAATCAGCCATTTTTCTAAGGAGCCCTGCTTTCTTTTAGTAAATGGCATTTAGAGATCATATTCTGTGTGCAAGAAATGCTTGCTTTTGAATTGATGATGGTTTCTAGAAAGAATTTTTTACAAGCAAATACTTTATGGATTCTTACTAATAGTTCTATTTCAAATTTAGGTAAGACTAAAGTGTTTCTACTTAACTTTATTGATCTTATATCCATACCTGGGATGTAAAACATCCCACTTTTCAAAACAACATAATTACTCATTGCTTTATCCTATAATACATGCAAAACAGTCTTACCAACTGTATTAGTCCATTTTCATGCTGCTGATAAAGACATATGCAAGACTGGAAAGAAAAAAAGGTTTAATGAACTTACAGTCCCACATGGCTGGGACGGCCTCACAATCATTGTGGAAGGCAAGGAGGAGTAAGTCACATCTTACATGAATGGCAGCAGGCAAGAGAGACAGCTTGTACAGGGAAACTCCCACTTTTAAAACGATCAGCTCTTGTGAGACTCATTTACCATCATGAGAACCGCACAGGAAAGACCTGCCCCCATAATTCGATCACCTCCCACTGGGTTCCTCCAATGACACACAGGAGTTGTGGGAGTTACAATTCAAAATGAGATTTCGGTGGGGACACAGCCAAACCATATCATCCCGCCTCTGGCCCCTCCCAAATCTCATGTTCTCACGTTTCAAAACCAGTCATGCCTTCCCAACAGTCTCCCAAAGTCTTAACTCATTTCAGCATTAACTCAAAAGTCCACAGTCCAAAGTCTCATCTGAGACAAGGCACATTCCTTTCGCCTAGGAGCTTGTAAGATCAAAAGCAAGTTAGTTACTTCCCAGATACAATGGGGGTACAGGTATCGGGTAAATACAGCCATTCCAAATGGGAGAAATTGGCCAAAACAAAGGCGCTCTGGTCCCCATACAAATCAGAAATCCAGCAGGGCAGTTAAGTCTTAAATCTCCAAAATGATCTCCTTTGACTCCATGTCTCGCATCCGGGTCACGCTGATGCAAGAAGTGGGTTCCCATGGTCTTGGGCAGCTCAGCCCCTGTGGCTTTGCAGGGTACACCCTCCCTTCTGGCTGCTTTCATGGGCTGGTGTTGAGTGTCTGCCGATTTTCCAGGCACATGTGCAAGCTGTCGGTGGATCTACCATTCTGGGGTCTGGAGGACAGTGGCCCTCTTCTCACAGCTCCACTAGGTGGTGCCCCAGTTGGGACTCTGTGTGGGGACTCCAACTCCACATTTCCTTTCCACACTGTCCCAGCAGAGGTTCTCCATGAGGGCCCTGTCCCTGCAGCAAACTTCCTGGATATCCAGGCGTTTCCATACATCCTCTGAAATCTAGGCAGAGGTTCCCAAGCCTCAGTTCTTGACTTCTGTGCACCCACAGGTTGAATTCCACATAGAAGCTTCCAAGGCTTGAGGCTTGCACCCTCTGCAGCCACGGCCCGAGCTGTACCTTGGGCCCTTTTAATCATGGCTGGAGTAGCTGGGATGCAGGGCACCAAGTCCCTAGGCTGCACACAGCACGGAGACCCTGGGCCTGGCCCAAGAAACCATTTTTTTCCTCCTAGGCCTCTGGTCCCGTGATGGGAGGGGCTGCCATGAAGACCTCTGAAATGCCCTGGAGACATTTTCCCCATTGTCTTGGAGATTAATATTTGGGTCCCCATTTCTTATGCAAATTTCTGCAGCCAGCTTGAATTTCTCCTCAGAAAATAGAATTTTCTTTTCTATTACATTGTCAGGCTGCAAGTTTCTGAACTTTTATGCTCTGCTTCCCTTATAAAACTGAATGTGTTTAAGAACGCCCAAGTCACCTCTTGAATACTTTGTTGCTTAGACATTTCTTCCACCAGATACTCTAAATCATCTCTCTCAAGTTCAAAGTTCTGCAAATCTCTAAGGCAGGAGCAAAATGCCACCAGTCTCTTTGCTAAAACATAACAAGGGTCACCTTTGTTCCAGTTCCCAACAAGTTCCTCATCTCCATCTGAGACCACCTCAGCCTGGACCTTATTGTTCATATCACTATCAGCATTTTTGTCAAAGCCATTCAACAAGTCTCTAGGAAGTTCCAAACTTTCCCACATTTTCCTGTCTTCTTCTGAGCCCTCCAAACTGTTCCAGCCTCTGCCTGATAACCCAGTTCCAAAGTCGCTTCCACATTTTTGGGTATCTTTTCAGCAGCACCCCACTTTATTGGTACCAATTTACTGTATGAGTTTATTTTCATGCTGCTGATGAAGACATACCCGAGACTGGGAAGAAAAAGAGGTTTAATGGACTTACAGTTCCACATGGCTGGGGAGGCCTCACGATCACAGCGGAAGGCAAGGAGGAACAAGTCACATCTTACATAGATGGTGGCAGGCAAGAGAGGGAGGTTGTGCGGGGAAACCGTTTTTAAAATCATCAGATCTTGTCATTCACTATCATGGGAACAGCGCAGGAAAGACCCACACCCATAATTCAATCACCTCCCACTGGGTTCCTCTCATGACATGTGGGAATTGTGGGAGTTACAATTCAAGATGATGTCGGGGTGGGGACACAGCCAAACCATATCACCAACACGACCACATTTCTCATTTCATTACTAAAAATGGTTTCAGATATTTTACAAGGTTTTTTGGTTTGGTTGGACTGGGTTTAAGTTTGGTCATTAGGGGATCTCCCATTAGGAATATACAGTGGAATTCCTGAGTGTTAAGGTCATTTGCAATAGTTTCTCACTGTGTAGTTACACCATCAACTCAACAGATTGACTTGTTTCATTTTGTCAAGTCTAATTTGGTTTTATACTTTTCTAAAGTACTATATCCACAAACTTCCAACATAAATCTATAAAACAAGATATATTTAGAAAAGTCTAGCTTCTATCCCAATCCTCTCACTTTATTTCCTCTCTCCTCCTATGTGATGTATGGTATATTCATATTCCCCTCTCCAATGATAGCATATTATCAGAATTTTCTTCACCTGGCTTTTTACTCATTAGGTTATATTCTGGTGATCACAACATATAACATAGAAATATGCCTCATTTCCTTTCAAAGCTGCATGGCACTCCATTATGTGTAGGTATCTTAGTTTATTTACTCCGTTCCCTATTGATGGGCATTGAGTTATTTCCAGTCTTTTGCTACTACCAATGTTTCTGTAATAAATAGCCTTATGTATATTAATTTTTGAATTTTTGACTGTGTGCCGTTTTTATTTTTATTTTTTTTAGAGATAGGGTCTTCCTATGTTGCCCAGGCTGGTCTTGAGCTCCTGAGCCCAAGAGATTCTTCCACTTTAGCCTCCCAGAGTGTTAGGATCGCAGGCATGAGCGACCACATCCAGCTGAAAGTGTGTCTTTAGGATGGATTCGTAGAAGTGAGATTTCTAGGTCAAAAGGTAAATGTCTATCTAAAATTGCTGGATATTGCTGCATTGCTCAAGAAACTTATTCTGTTGTGGAAGGAATTATAATGAAGGGATTAGGAAGTGGAGGAAGAAAACTGAGACCTCCCTGAAGGGCTGACATCAACCTCCCTATAGGAAGGACCCACCTTGACAGGTGGTTTGTTCACATGCGGCTGAGAAGATTAGGGTGCTTTTCACCCTTCCCAAATCCTCACTGAAAGGAGGTGGTGCCACTCCTCACCCTGAACCTGTTGCCATGCGCTGCCTCACCAGCTCCTTAAAAGGAAGGCAGTGGTTAATGTTAAAGCAAAATGAATAAGCCTCATAAACTAAAAAGTGGAAAATAACCTAGCAACTTATTACCATCCAATTTCAGTCAGTTCACTCCCTCAGGAAAGCAAATTGCAATCAGGAGATGGTGCCATGCAACCTGCAGCAGCGCGTTTGCAGAGGACAACCCAGGGTCGAATGGGCCATCTCCCTTAGCTGGAAAGACGGCAGGCCACGTTTCTCAGCACTGTTTTTTTCAGCTTCTGATGACACTGAGGATCTCCTGGAGAGTTCCCTGGCAGCAGAGCAAGGAGTTTTGATTTCTGAGTGTTTCCCTGGAGCAAGGGCCTGCCCTGTTGGCTACAGGCACCGTCTGGTGAAGTGTAGATCTGCCAGGCTCCTTGATATGCTTGTTCCAGCAAACTGATGGCACTATCTCTGATGCCTCCACCAGATTTTGCCACTGTCTACCTTGGATGGTCACCCTGCATGGACAGGCCTGGCTTTGCATACAAGGCTATATATTGTGGGGGACTGGTCAGAGCGGTGGAAAAACTATAGGGAAAGGATGCAAACCTTCTGAAAGGTCAGAAGGTTCTGCAGAGCCTGGGGGGAGAATAGCAGAAAGCAGCTGTTCTATAACCCTGGGGCAGAGGGCAAGGAGTAGGTACAAGGGAGTGTGGGGGAATTTATCTTAAACAGGCTTGTTTACTTATGTTGACCAGGAACTGACTGTTGATCATCCGCGTGCATGATGTTGCCTGAAAAGGGAATGATAAATGTTAATTACCTGCAGGTTGTGTTGGCTCCAGGTTTTCGTCATTGTGCCTGCACTGAATAAAAGCAAGCAGCTCCAGCTCTCGGGCTGCTCTCTGGACACTAGAGCCAGGCAGTCGCCTAGCTGCTCTTACACTGCATACCTCTGTCTGAGTACTCATTTCATCTGTCAGCCAGGGTCTGCGGGACAGACCCAGCAATACATGCCCTGAAGACGGGGGTCCTGTCAGCATCACCTCTGGATCCCCAGGAATGCTGGTGCTGACACCAGGGTTTACCACCAGCTGGTAAAACTAGGGCAGCCTAAAAATGGGAACCCCTTCCAAGCCTTTTGTGAGGATTTACAGATGCAGAGCTGTGGTATGGAGCCCTTCGTAAAGTATCAAGTCAAATACAGATGCTCCTCGACTTAAGTTGGGGTTACGTCCACCGGCCATGGTGGCTCATGCCTGTAATCCCAACTATTAGGGAGGAGGAGGTGGGAGGATAGCTTGAGCCCAGAAGTTCGAGACCTGCCTGGGCAATACAGCAAGACGCCGTTCTCCACAGAAAGGAAAAAAAAAAGACAAAAAAAAAAAAAATAACCAAGCAAGTGTAAGATGGGGTTATATCCCTGTAAACCCATCATCAACTGAAAATATCATTAAGTCAGTCACCATTAACTCAGGGACTGTCTGTACAGGCATTGTTATTATTAGAGTAAGCACTTGATAAATGCTTAACAAACGAGTAAATAAATAGTGGTGTGGAAAAAAAAGAATGATGAGAATAAACGTCCCCGAGGCCAGGCGTGGTGGATCACGCCTATAATCTCAGCACTTTGGGAGACCGAGGTGGACAGATCACTTGAGGTCAGGAGTTCGAAACCAGCCTGGCCAACATGATGAAACCTCATTTCTACTAAAAATACAAAAATTAGCTGGGCATGGTGGTGTGAGCCTCTAGTCCCAGCTACTCGGGAGGTTGAGGCAGGAGAATCACTTGAACCTGGGAGGTGGAGGTTGCAGTGAGCCGAGAACGCACCATTGCACTCCAGCTTAGGTGAAAGAGTGAGACTCTGCCTCAAAAAAAAAAAAAAAAAGAGTAAGTGTCTCAGGAGTTTCAATTAGTGGGGGGGTGGGGGCAGTGAAGTAGAGTGATTGGAGGATGGTTGGGTTTGGACGGATTTGGAGATGTTGGCATATGGGAGTGGGGAACATTTCTAGGAAGGGAAAATTTACATTCGCATTCAGTTTAGCAACAAGCACTGTTTATTTGCAGCAACATTCTGGTCAGAGGAGTCCTCTAAGTAAGTTGGGAGAAACAGTACAAAGGTAACTAAATGATCACTAACACCAATTGTGTCACTTTGTGCTGAGTGACCTCCTTTAATCCTCGTGGCAGCCTCATGAGAGGGTATTATCACACTCAAGTAATAGAGGAGGGACGTGAGACACAGCAAAGCGCATAAACTTACCTGCAGGAGAGCGAGAGACAAACCACTGAAGAGCCTTTAATGCCCAAGTAGGAATTTGAACGACCACAGTCAGAAGGGAGGCACTGAAGAGACTTGAGCACAGGAGTGACATGGTCGTATGGGTGCTTCAGAGAAACGCAGTATTGTATAGCAGCTGGGAGTTTGGAGTTTGGCACCAGACCACTTGGTTCTTCTAAAATCCCAGTTCCGGCCAGGCGCGGTGGCTCACCCCTATAATCCCAGCACTTTGGGAGGCTGAGGCGGGCAGATCACCTGAGGTCAGGAGTTTGAGACCAGCCTGGCCAACATGGCGAAACCCTGTCTCTACTAAAAATACAAAAATTAGCCAGGTGTGGTGGTGTGTGCCTGTAATCCCAGCTACTTGGGAGGCTGAGGCAGGAGAATTGCTTGAACCCAGGAGGTGGAGGCTGCAGTGAGCCGAGATCACATTACTGCACTCCAGCCTGGGCGACAGAGCAAGACTCTGTCTCAATAATAATAATAATAATAATAATAATAAATAAGTTAAATAAATAAAATCCCAGTTCTGCTCCTTGCTTGCTGTGAGATCTTACAAATATTATTTAACTGCACTGAGCCTCAGTTTCTTCATCTATAAAATGCGGGTAATAAAGGCACCCAGCTTATGGGGTCTTTTAGAGGAATAAAGTAACACATGTAGAACACAGCACAGTGATGCCGTGTATGTGTATGACAATTGTAAGTTATCATGAATATGTTAGCTATCTACCGGGTGGCCTGGAGAGAGGTCAGAGGTAGGGGGCAGCAGCAGGCACAGACTGAAGGCAAGGGTGGAATAGAGAGTAAGATATTTTAAAGCAAGCCTCAATAGGAATCATTACTTGCACACGTGGGATAACAAAAATACCTAAGAATGACTCTCAGATTCCCAGTCTTTTCTTTTTTCTTTAAGTATTTGCCCTTTTCTTTTAGTTTCTCAAGATTCCCAATCTTTTTATTTATTATTATTATTTTTTGAGACGGAGCTTCACTCTTATTGCCCAGGCTTGAGTGCAGTGGCACAATCTCGGCTCACTGCAGCCTCTGCCTCCCAGGTTCAAGCGATTCTCCTGCCTCAGCCTACTGAGTAGCTGGGATTACAGGCATGCGCCATCATGCCCTGCTGGTTTGGTATTTTTAGTAGAGATGAGGTTTCATCATGTTGGCCAGGCTGGTCTCGAACTCCTGACCTCAGGGGATCTGCCCACCTCGGCCTCCCAAAGTGCTGGGATTACAGGTGTGAACCACTGCGCGCGGCCAAGATTCCCAATCTTATTCACTGAGAAGAAAAGGGCTTCTGTCCTTCCTGTAGAAGATAGATAGCCATAAAGGGGGGAGAAAAAGAAAAGGATGAGGGGGCTTCTGATAGAAACGCGAAAACTCGGAGAGAAGCTAGCTTTTTGGAGCAAGATCACACTTTGGGAGGATGTGTGTATGTGGGGTGGGGGTTGTCAAAAGGATCCTGGGTTCTATTGCCAGCTCTGCCACCAGTTGGCTGTGTCCCCTTGCCAAAAACCTCTTTCCTTTTCTGGACTTCAGTTTTTAGTCAGTGAAATTAAGCTTTTACACTTGAGATCTTAGAATTCTCTCCCAACTCAGATGTTCTCCAGTTTCACCTGATCACTGTATAGCACTTGAAAGGGAGGATAGTGCTAATAGCCTGGCTCTTAGGAGACTTCTTTGAAAAAAAGAAAAAGAAAGAAAGAAAGAAAAAAAGATTTTTAAAATTTATTTAATTTTAATTTCTTTTCTTTTTTCCTTTTTTGAGACAGAGTCTCACTGTCACTCAGGCTGGAGTGCAGTGATGTGATCTTGGCTCACTGCAACCTCTGCCTCCCAGGCTCAAGTGATCCTTCCACCTCAGCCTCCAGGTATCTGGGACTACAGGTGCACACCACCATGCCTGGCTAATTTTTGTATTTTTTGTAGAGATGGGGTTTTGCCATGTTGCCCAGGCTGGTCTCGAACATCTGAGCTCAAGTGAGCTGCCCACCTTGGCCTCTCAAAATTCTGGGATTATAGGCGAGAGTCACCGCACTCCGCCTGTAAAAGAAAAATTTAAAGTAGAAATGGAGGGGTTTCACTATGTTGCCCAGGCTAGTCTCAAACTCCTGGCCTCAAGTGATCCTCCTGCCTCAGCCTCCCAACACACTGGGATTACAGACACGAGCCATTGTGCCCAGCCCTTTTCTTGAGGTTCAAGGAGAGGTGATGGGAAGAGGCAGCAATATGAGAAGAGGAAACCTCCTTCTTCTTTTTTCCTGCTCCCTTAAATGTTGGACTTCAGGCCCTGCAAGAGACCCCTTGGCCAGGCTCTCCAAAACAACCCCTGCATGGATCCTCCCATCACTCAAGAGATTCTGGGAACTGGTGTCAGAGAAAGCCAAGTGCAATGTTGATTTTATTCAGCTGCACTCTCTTCCACTTGGTTGGTTCCTGACTGGGCTTTTGTTTTTCTACCAGATTAGAGAAGAAAGGAAGGTTGTTTTAAAAAGTTCACTATCCTTAGCAACAGTGAAACCAGAACACTTGGTGGTGGCTGGGGCCCAGCAGAGCCTGTGTTTACCCAGAGGGTGCACTTGGGGGTAGGAGGTGGAGCATCACCTGCCCAGGTGTGTGGCCTGGACGTGGCCTCAGGCAGGTGTTTAGCACCTTCCATTTAGCACAGCCTGAAGGAGAATGGGCACCCAGTCTTCTGGGAAGACCTGTATTTTGAAATAGAGTTTTACATAAAATAAAACAGAATAACCAGGGCTGAAGAATGCACGCGTCGAATGCATACCAACACCTGGAATGACATTTGATCTGAGGAAATGAACCCCTTGGAGGACATTTTTTTTTTCCAAATAAAATGCCAGTTATGTAACACAGCCAAATAGTACCACAGAGACGGTGCCCTCTCTCTCTTGTTTTATTTTTATATTTATTTTATTTTTTAATTTTTGAGGCAAGGTCTCACTCTATTGCTCAGGCTGGAGTGCAATGGTGCATTCATAGCTCACTGCGGCCTCGAACTTCTAGGCTCATGTGATCCTCCTGCCTCAGCCTCTCAAACAGCGGGGACTGCAGGTGCATACCACCATGTCTGGCTAATTACTTTTTTGTAGAGATCTCCCTACATTGCACAGGCTGGTCTCAAACTCCTGGCCTCAAATGATCTGCTGGCCTCAGCCTCCCAAAATGATGGGATGGCAGGTGTGAGCCACCGTACCTGGCCTTCCCGTTTCTTATGAGCTGGCACCTGTGGCTAGACCATTTCCCTCAGGCATTGACAACATGTAGGAATTAAACTAAGGGATTCAAAATTAATTCTAACATTTAGTGACTCATACTTGTTTTAACTTTAATTGGTCCTCAGACTTAATGATAGACGACACATTCACCTTCAACAGGCTTCTTTCAGCTCACACAGAATCAGCATTATCATTTCTGTTAGCAAACATTTATTGGGCATTTTTTTGTTAAATAAGATCTTGTTTGTCTAAAATGTTTTATATACTTTAAAGCACCATGCAAAGATGATACTGTGCTTGGTGGATTCATGGACTCCAAAAATACCATGCTCTGTATTTTACAGGTAGGAAAACTAAGGCCCTGGAAAGGAAGAGACTTACTAATCATCTTTCCCTATTTTATTTGTTTTTGTTTCTTTCTTTTTTCTTTCTAAAAAAATATTTTTTGAGGCCGGGTGTGGTGGCTCACGCCTGTAATCCCAGCACTTTGGGAGGCTGAGGCGGGCAGATCACTTGAGGTCATAAGTTCGAGACCAGCCTGGCCAACATGGTGAAACCCTGTCTCTACTAAAAGCACAAAAACTAGCCAGGCATGGTGGTGAACACCTGTAATCCCAGCTACTTGGGAGGCTGAGGCAGGAGAATTGCTTGAACTCGGGAGGTGGAGGTTGCAGTGAACCAAGATTGCACCACTGTACTTTAGCCTGGGCAACAAAGTGACATTCTATCTCAAAAAAAAAAAAAAAATTTAACCCAGTTCATAACTTTCCCTATTTTAAATGATAGCACCAGGCGCTGATGATTCAAGGAGATGAGAAATGCAAGTAATAGTCTAGCTCTTGAGAGAGGACACTGAGAAATGAAGCCCAGAGTGTCTAATCCCTCATTTGGACTTTACTTGAAGAGCATGTCCTGATGCCTCTGAGGGTGACCTGGTGACACAGGAGCTCAAATCTTCAAAGCAAGTTTGAAGACAGTAGCAAAACCTAAAAGGGAAGAGGGTACAGGAGTGACTGGATACAAAAGAGAATCCATGGCTGCTTGGATCAGATAGTGGGCTGCTGAAGGCAGTGACTGAGATCCTGAAACAAGGTATAGCTCCCAGAGCAGCTGGTATCTGAAGAAACCTAAGTAGCAGGTGCTGGAGAACCACAGTGCAAGGGCGCTGGAGGGATGGCATTATTCATACTCTCAGTCATTTATTCACATTTATTTATTTTTATTGATACACAATGATGTACATATTTGGGGGTTACATGTGATAGTTTATTATTATTATTGAAATGGCATCTCACTCTGTTGCCCAGGCTACAAAGCAGTGGTGCGGTCTCGGCTCACTGCAAGCACTCTGCCTCCCAGGTTCAAGCAATTCTCCCGCCTCGGCCTCCTGAGTTGCTGGGATTACAGGTGCCTGCCACCACACTTGGCTAATTTTTTGTATTTTTAGTACATGTTTGCCGTGTTTGCCAGGCTGGTCTGGAACTCCTGACCGCAGATGATCCACCCACCTCAGCCTCCAAAAGTGCTGGGATTACAAGTGTGAGCCACTGCACCCAGCCATGATAATTTAATACATTCATATAATTTGTAAAGATCAAATCTGTGTAACTGGGCTATCCATTATCTTAAATATTTGTCTTTTCTTTGTGCTAGAAATATTCAAATTATTCTCTTCTAGCTTTTTTTTTTTTTTTTTTGGTGACAAGAGCTCACTATGTTGCCCAGGTTGGAGGGCACTGGCTATTCATAGGTGCTATCCAAGTGCATTAGAGCCTCCAACTCCTAGGCTCAGGCAATCCTCCTGCCTCAGCCTCCCGCGTAGCTAGGACTCCAGATGCATGCCACCACGCCTAGTGTCACTCCCGTTTATGAAGCACTTATTCTGTTTCATGTCACGGGATCCTGGCACAGAGAGCAGGCAGGAGTCCACACAGGCAAGCTGTCGGCATGGGGGATAATCAGGACTAGTGTTAAGCAGGGTAAGGATAGGCTTGGGAGACACATTTACACTTTGTGAGTGGAGCAAGAGTCATTCATTCAATGATAAACATCTTTAAAGTATATTCTATATGCCAGTAAAGTTCTAGACATGGAGAACAGTGGATAAAATGCCCTTGTAGACATTACATTCTAGTGGGGAGGGGGAGATAGACAATCAATAAACTACCATCTATAATATGGCAGATGGTGATTCATGCTATGGAAAAAAAAACAACAGATCAGGACAGGGGGATAAAGCGTGCCAAGGGGAAGGGATTTCAACTGTAGGCCTCAGTGAGGAGGGGATGTTTAAACAAAGACCTGAAAAAGGTAAGGAAGCAAAAGCCATAGGGCTACTGGTAGAGGCAGAGGGCACAGCAAGTGCAAAGGCCCTGAGGTGGGAGTGTGCCTGGTGCACGCACACTTGCAATGAAAAGTCACTAGTGAGGCTGGGTGCGTGGCTTGCGCTTGTAATCCCAGCACTTTGGGAGGCTGAGGCAGGCAGATTGCTTGAGCCCAGGAGTTTGAGACCAGCCTGGGCAATATGGTGAAACCCCATCTCTACAAAAAAAAAAAAAAAAAAAAAAAAAAAGTATATATATATATATATAAAATTAGCCAGGTGTGGTGTCATGCACTTGTAGTCCCAGCTACTCGGGAGGCTCAGGTGGGAGGATCGCTGGAGCCCAGGAAGTCAAGGCTGCAGTGACCCACGATTGCACTACTGCACTCCAGCCTGGGCAACAGAGCATGACTCTGTCTCAAGGCAAAAAAAAAAAGGCCGGGTGAAGTGGCAGCTCATACCTGTAATCTTAGCACTTTGGGTGGCTGAGGTGGGCAGATCTTTGAGTCTAAGAGTTCGACACCAGCCTGAGCAACACGGCAAAACCCTGTCTCTACAAAAAATACAAAAATTAGCTGTGCATGGTGGCACACGTCTGTAGGCCCAGCTACCAGAAAGGTTGAGGTGGGAGGATTGCTTCAGCCTCGGAGGTGGAGGCTGCAGGGAGCCAAGATCATGCCACTGCAGTCCAGCCTGGGTGACAGAGCAAGACCCTGTCTCAGGAAAAAAAACAAAAAAAAAAAGAAGAGAGGAAGTCATTACTAGTGAAACACACGGAGTGTTTAGTTGCCACAGGCTGACATTTTCTTCCTGGCAGTTTACAGTGAAATTTAGTAATGAATACCCACACCCACACTCGTAGATCAGAATAGACCACCGCCATACATACTAGGTCAGGGTCTCCTTCCCAAGCTTAAAACTTCAGGGTGACTGTTTGTGGGACCCCCACAGGGTCCCCCACCGCGGGCTTAACGCTGTGGGTTCACCGTAGCTTCACTCCCACACTCAGAACAAGGTGACACCCACTGGGCCTGCAGCAAAGGTGGGAATCTTAGGAAAACACAGCTGCAGAGGCTTCAGCTGGTGTGTCAATGTTCCTCTGCATCACGTGCTTGTTGTTTTCTGACTTGCTTGGCTCGGAAAGCTTACCTTTGGGGGTTATAAACTTAATCCCAACAGACCTGAATTGATACCTCTTAATTATGTCAGTGATGTAGTAAATCAACACCCTATTAGAAAGTCATTCAACTTCAACTATTAAATATTCAGAAACTTTTTACAAGAGAATTGCAACATGTAAGCCCTCTGGCAGGAAGAGATGTTACTAATCTGTTTTGTGTAGAGAGAAGTGCTGGCTGACACTTTGCAAAACGGAGCTGAGCTGTCAGTTATATGCTCCTTCATATATTTTATCAAACCAAGAGTTTAAGTCCTGCCCTATAAATAACTGTAAAGCATCTAGTGTAACCACTACCCCAACCTTTCCTGCCTAATTCTTTTGCCTCTTCGTGGCTCCTTTTATCGGGACTTAAATTGGAATTATGTCCTAATTTTCAGAGAGAGAATATTCATTCATTCATTCAGCAAGTTTTCAGTATTGTGGCTGGGCGTGGTGTAATCCCAGCACTTTGGGAGGCCAAAGCAGGCTGATCACTTAAGGCCAGGAGTTCAAGGCCAGCCCTGCCAACATGGTGAAACCCCATCTCTAGTAAAAATACAAAAAAATTAGCTGGGTGCGGTGGCGCACGCCTGTGGTCTCAGCTACTCAGGAGGCTGAGGCAGGAGAATCGCTTGAACCTGGGAGGCAGAGGTTGCTTTGAGCCCAGATCGTGCCACTGCACCCCAGCCTAGGTGACAGAGTGAGACTCTGCCTCAAAAAAAAAAAAAAAAAAGAAAAGAGTTTTCGGTATTGAGTACCTTCTCTGTGCCAGGCATTGCTCTAGGCTCTTGGGATATATCAGCAAATAAAACAAAGATCTCTGCCCTGGTGGAGCTTATACTCAAATGGAAAAAACTGACAAATTGTATAGGGTATTAGAAGGTGACACGTGCTATGGGAAAAATAAGCAGCGGAACTGAGTATTGCTGGTGGGGTGGGGGGCGGGGGTGGAGGGAGTTACAGTGTTGAACAGGGCGGTCAGGGTAAATCACATGGAGTAGGTGAGACGTGGGCAGCTTGACGAAGATGGGGCAGTAACCAACCGAGTACTGGGAGGAAGAGCAGCGAGGAGAGGGAGCAGCCAGGACGCAGGCCCTAAGGGGGCACATGCTTGCTGTGTGGGAGCCCTAAGCAGACCACGTGGTGGGCGAGGAGTGAACCTGGGCAGGACAGGAGGAGGGGATGTCAGGAGAAGGAGGTAGGGAGGGAAGCAGATCGTAGTGCTTTGTAGCCTGCAGAAGGATGTTCACTGGTTTTTTTGGGTTCATGTAGGAACTCAAGCGACTGGACCAACAGAACCGGTTCTTTGCAGAAGCAGAGGGGAGACCTGGACTTTGCTTTTCCTGCGGCCATTAAGTTAACTGCCTGACCTTTGACAAAGTCTTGAGAGCTTCGCTTCGGTGCTGAAAACTAGGTTATTCCTAAGGCTCCTTTCAATTTTGAGATCCTATGACTTTAGGGAGTCGCCTCCAACACGTGATTTGAACAGTAGAGAAATATCTTGCAGTCCACATCTCATATGCATCTGCAGCCACCAGACCTAAAATCTCCAGGCAAGCCTCAAGGCTTCGATGCTTCTGGAATCACGAGTCCCCTTTGAAAAGGATTTGCGAAGAACTACAGGACTTCTCTCGAGAGAAATGGAGAGCTACAGGTGCACACAGCAGTTGCTGACATTGTAGGGAGTCCACAGCATCCTTAAAGCACAACCATGGGGCCCCATCTCCCTGCAAGGTGAACCATGAACTACTCATTCAGAATCCCTGCATTAAGGAGGCTTGATCATTTCCCCCAACTTTCCTTTTTTTTTTTTTTTTTTTTTGAGACGGAGTCTTGCTGTCTCAAAAGGAGACAGAGCTGGAGTACAATGCCACAATCTCGGCTCACTGCAACTTCCATTTCCCAGGTTCAAGCAATTCTCTTGCCTCAGCCTCCTGAGTAGGTGGGAGTACAGGTACCTGCCACCACGCCCGGCTAATTTTTGTATTTTTAGTAGAGACAGGGGTTTCACTATGTTGGTCAGGCTGGTCTCAAACTCCTGACCTCAGGTGATCCGCTTGCCTTGGCCTCCCAAAGTGCCGGGATTACAGGTGTGAACCAGCATGCCTGGCTCCCCACAACTTTCTATTATGGAAATGTTTCATACATTCAGAGAAACGGAAGACCAGTACAGCACACTCCTGTACATCTTTCATTTAAATTTTTAAAAATGTTAATATTTTCTCTATATATAATACTTTACCAATATCATCGTTTTGTTGTTGTTGACCCTTTGAAAGTTACAGCAATCATGACACTTTATCCCAAAATATTTTCAGCATGTATCTTTTAAGAATAAGAACAGTTTCCTGTTATACCAGAAAATTAACACTAGTTGACCTAAATATCAAATAGAGAGGCACTCTAAAAAAATAATATTCATCTGGGTATGTATCATTGCAATGGGAATATGCATGCCATAGTGAACTATGTAAAGGTTAAAGAAGACGAAGGTTTTTAAAGGAAAACTGAGGATTATATAATTGTTTTGAGATAATTATCCTTGCCAACAAAGATCAGTAACAAGGGTGACGCCAGTTTGAGGTTGAACAGCCAGTTGTTTTGGCAGATGTCCTCGCAGAAGTATTTTTTTGTGTAAGGCTCCGATGACCTGTGTGCAAGGTTGCAATTTTTGCAGACTTTTGTGATAGTTTTTGTTTTCAGGCACTTATGCACGAGAACTCTCCCTTCATAGCCTTCTCTGGCTCCATTTGTCAGTTTTTTGTTTTGTTTTTAAACACAAGTGACTCCATTTTGATTCTTACAACTCTAACAAACTGACCTCTACACTCATATCCAGCCACATTCAAATTCCCTTCATTCTAAGAATTCCTTCAACATAATTCCTTTTACACATTACCAGGATCCAATCAAGGTTCACATATTACATTTGATTCTGAGGTTTTGCTAGTCTATTTTTTTCTGAAACCATCTCTCCATGGTTTTGTTTTTGATTGTTTATTTTCTTGATAATGATTCTTCAGAAAAGTTCAGACCATTTGTCTTTTTTTTCAATCCTGCTCCTTCAGTAAAGACCATGTCTTATAGAATGTCCTGCTTCTGGATGTGACTGCTAGTGTCCTCTAACTTCTTCCTCTATCGCCTGTATTCCTTGCAAAGGAGAAACTAGATCTAAAAGTAATTTGCGAGCTTTAATTAAAGTACAACATAATCTGGGAAGTAGTAATCCATTTTCTAGATGTTGACTGGATTAAATGCCAATTTAGGCTGTTGGCTCTTTAGAAGACTGTCTTTGGCTTTCTAGGACTCCATCCCCAGGGAGGATCACCTAGGGAGGGATTTGTGGTTATATAGAGACAGGGAGAGAAACAGACCCATTTTCCCTCGCTGTGAAAGGATCAACACTGAATTTGGAATTTAGTCTGGAAGTTGACTATTTTTATTCTCTGGACTTCAATTTCCTCATCTAAAAAATGAAATAACAACAGTTTTATTTTTGATGGATTATTGGGCTCAAATGAGATAACAGATTAGAATTTTTTTTTTAAGCTCTCCATTTCTCTCGAGAGTTCTGTAGTTCTTGGCAAATCTTTTTGTTTGTTTGTTTTTGTTTGTTTTTTTGAGACAGGGTCTGTCACTCTGTCGCCCAGGCTGGAGTGCAGCGTCACAGTCACATCTCACTGCAGCTTCAACCTCCTGGGCTCAGGTGATCCTCCTGCCCCAGCCCCCCGAGTAGCTGGGACTACAGGTGTGCGCCACCATGCCTGGCTAATTTTTGTGTTTTTTTGTAGAGACAAGGGTTTGCCATGTTACACATGCAGCTCTTGAACTCCTGGGCTCAAGCAATCTGCCTGCCTCAGCTTCATCAACGTGCTGGGATTACACGCATGAGCCACCAGGCCCAGCCCTAGAAAATTCTTTCTATGTAAACTCAGATAGAAGCGGCTCTGCTTTAGGAATTGATAGTAAGTGCAGACACACCTTCAATTCATCTCATGTAAGTGAACAGAGTGTGAGTATCTATCTGTGTATCTATCTACCTAGCTACCTATTATCTAACATGATGAACTTCTTTTTTTTTTTTGAGATGGAATTTTGCTCTGTTGCTCAGGCTGGAGTGCAGTGGCATGATCTCAGCTCACTGCAATCTTTTCCTGCCTTTGCCTCCCTAGTAGCTGGGATTACAGGCGCCCACCACCATGTCTGGCTAATTTTTCTATTTTTAGTATAGACAGGGTTTCACTGTGTTGTTCAGGTTGGTCTCGAACTCCCGACCTCAGATGATCCACCTGCCTTGGCCTCCCAAAGTGTTGGGATTACAGGTGTGAGCCACCGAGCCTGGCCTCATGATGAACTTCCCAAGAGTTACTGAAATAGTGGTGGGGGTCAGTTTTTCAAGGGTGATTTAATGCAGTAGTTCTTAGCTGGGGGTAATTTTGCCCTGCAGGGACATCGGGCACTGTCTGATTACATTTTTGGTTGTTATAACTAAGGAGCTGCTACTGCTATCTAGTGGGTAGAAGCCAAGGATGCTGCTCAACACCCTGCAGTGCACAGGACAGCCCCAGCCCCCACAGCAAAGAATCATCTAGCTCAAAATGTCAATGGTGCCTAGTTAGAGAAACTTTGATTTAATGTGAGGCTCAATTAAATACTGAACCTTAGACAAGACTCCTTGACAAATCCTTTGAATATCAGGGTTTGAGGTGACTTACACCAAAATTCTATGCAATAAAATTGCAAATTATATCCATCCTGGGACACATAGTGAGATCTTGTCTCAACAAAACGTCAAAAAATTAGCCAGGCATGGTGGCGTGTGCCCATCGTCCCAGCTACTTGAGAGGCTGAGGTGCGAGGATGGCTTGAGCCCCAGAGGTCAAGGCCACTACACTCCAGCCTGGGCAACAAAGTGAGACCCTGTCTCAAAAAAATTTGCAAATTAGGAATTGAAAAACAGAAAAACAGAAAGAAAAAAATGAATAAACAAATATGTTAATTACTTCAATCAACATAATTGCTATGGTTCAAATGAGTTTCCTCTAAGGCTAAAAAGAAATCATAATCGATTGTAGTTTTGATTATCAGAAAAGATAATTCCTAAGGAGAATCGCTTTTCCCGAAATAAATTGTAGCTAAATTTTCATAATAAAGTTTTTTTAATAATATGGGGAACTATGAGTGATATGTTGACGGGAAGGACAATGTTTTTAATATTTGTGCAAAAATGTAGAAGTAAGTTCCATATGGATATTTACTAAAGTAACTTTGATTAAAGCTATGAGGGAAATATTCAGATGAAATTTTGTTAAGGTGATTCAGTGAGGGACTATATTAACAGGATTCCATATGGAGCCTTCTCACGGTCTAATTTGATAATTCTGAATTATGGTACCCTGGGGAATATAAGGTTTCAGTAAAGGCACAACTGAATCATGGCCTAGAGCCTTTATTATGTTATTTTGAGCCCTTTGTAAATATACTGTTTTTAAAATAATGATATTTTTGAGATATTAGTCATGCATCCTAAAAAATAAGCCTTTTAAAGTCAGTTTATGGTATAGTCACTGAGTTGTGCAACCATCACCACTATCTAATTTCAGAATATTTTCATTGCTCCCAAAAGAAACTCTGTATCCATTAGTAGTCACTGCCTATTTACCCCTTTCCCATGTTTCTGGGATCATGTCCATTTTAAGTTTTGTGTATGGTATGAGGAATGAGTCCAATTCACTCTTTTGCATATGGATATTCAGTTGTTTCGACATCATTTGTTAAAAAGCTTATTCTTTTTCCCATTGAATTGTCTTGGCACCCTTGTTGAAAATCAGTTGACTAGAAATGTAAGGGTTTATTTCTGGATCTTCAATTCTATTCCATTGATCTACATGTCTAGCTTTGTGCCAGTACCACACTGTCTTGATTACTGCAGCTCTGTAGTTAAGTTTTAAATTTGGAAGTGAGTCCTTCAAATTTTTTCTTCGTTTAAACAATTGTTTTAGGCTGGGCGCGGTGGCTCATGCCTATAATGCCAGCACTTTGGGAGGCCAGGGGAGGGGGTGGATCACCTAAGGTCAGGAGTTTGAGACCAGCCAGGTCAACATGGTGAAACCCCATTTCCACTAATACAAAAGTTAGCTGGGTGTGGTGGCATGTGCCTGTAGTCTCAGCAGCTAGGGAGGCTGAGACAGGAAAATCACTTGAACCTGGGAGGCAGAGGTTGCAGTGAGCCGAGATTGCGCCACTGCACTCTGCCTGGGTGGACAGAGTGAGGCTCTGTCTCAAAAACAAAACAAAACAAAACAAAAACAATTGTTTTGGCTATTTCTGTCCCTTGTATCTGCAGATAAATTTTAGTTTTCTTTTTTTGCGATATCTTTTTAAGGGGTTTGGTATCAGGTTAGTACTGGCCTTATAGAATAAGTTGGGAAGTACTTCGTCCTTTTTTTTTGTAACGGTTTGTGAAGAATTGGTACCAATTTTCCTTAAAATTGTGTACATTTATCAGTGGTCATCTGGTCCTGGGCTTTTCTTTGCAGGAAGTTTTTTGATTACTAATTTCATCACCTTACTTGTTTAGATCAATTTAGATTTTCTATTTCTTCTTGAGTCAGTTTTGATAGTTTGTACCTTTCTAGAAATGTATCCATTTTAGTTATCTAATTTGTTTGCATACCACTACTTATAATATTTATCATTCATTTCTATAAAGTCAATAATAATTCCTCTCTTTATTTTTTTTTTTTTTTAATTAGAGAGAGAATCTCACTATGTTGCTTGGCCTGGTTTTGAACTCTTGGGTTCAAGTAATCCTCCTGCCTTGGCCTTCCAAGTGGCTGGGACTGCAGGCCCATATGACCATGCCCACCCTCCCAAGTGGCTGGGACTACAGGCCTGTACCACCAATACCTGTTTTGTTTTGTTTTTTTGAGACGAAGTCTCGCTCTGTCACCCAGGCTGGGTGCAGTGGCGTGATCTCAGCTCACTGCAATGTACGCCTCCTGAGTTCAAGGGATTCTCCTGCCTCTGCCTCCTGAGTAGCTGGGATTACAGGCAGGCACCACCATGCCTGGCTAATTTTTGTATTTTTGGTAGAGATGGGGTTTCACCATGTTGGTCAGGCTAGTCTCGAACTCCTGACCTCGTGATCTGCCTGCCTTAGCCTCCCAAAGTGCTGGAATTACAGGTGTGAGCCACCGCGCCCAGCCACCAATACCTTTTTATTTTTTCCCTCCTTCCCCTCCTTCCTTTCTTTGTCACTCAAAAACATCTGAGGTCTCTTTAATTTTTTTTTTTTTTTTTTGAGGCGGAGTCTCACTCTGTCGCCCAGGCTGGAGTGCAGTGGCGCGATCTCGGCTCACTGCAAGCTCTGCCTCCCGGGTTCACGCCATTCTCCTGTGTCAGCCTCCTGAGTAGCTGGGACTACAGGCGCCCGCCACCATGCCCGGCTAATTTTTTTTGTATTTTTAGTAGAGACGGGGTTTCACCATGTTAGCCAGGATAGTTTCAATTTCCGGACCTCGTGATCCGCCCGCCTCGGCCTCCCAAAGTGCTGGGATTATAGGCGTGAGCCACCGCGCCCAGCCCCTTTCATTTTTGATGTAAGTAATTTGAGTCTTCTCTCTAATTTTTGGTCAGTTTAGTTAAACGTTTGTCAATTTTGTTGATATTTTCCAAGAATCAAGTTTTGGTTACATTGATTTCCTCTGGTGCTTTTTTTATTCTCTAATTTATTTCTACTCTAATCTTTATTTCCTTCCTTTGTAAATACGTTATTAAATGTTTGCATAGTACCCCCATCATTTGGATGTGTTATAAATAATATCCCAGTTTTGCTGAATATTTTAGATATTTCTGAATATTTGCTGATATTTTAGAGCTTTAGATATCCTCCCCTCCATTTTTTTCCCATTATTAATGATATCGGCCAGGCTAATGCCTGTAATCCCAGCACTTTGGGAGGCCAAGGCAGATGGATCACTTGAGCCAGGAGTTTGAGACCAGCCTGGGCAACATGGAGAAACCTCATCTCTAAAAAGAAAAGAAATATATATGTGTGAACATCTCCATGTAAGCAGAATTTTCTGTTTTAGATTTTTGTATAGGGTCGTAGTTAGTAGAAATGGCTTTGGAGCAACACCATGTTCTTCAGTTTACCCAGCTATGTGACTTTGGACAAGTTGTTTGTGTTTGGACTTCTTCATCTGTAATGTGGGAATGGGAATTTGTTCTTGGGTATCTAGGTTATGTTATAATTAGGATTGCTTTCCATAATTGAACTATCTAGGGCAGAGGATGTGAACAGTTCTAAATAAACTCAATACATAAAGAAATATTTTCTATTAGTTCCTTTCTGTGAAAAACAGGGAAAGAAAATAAATACACATATGTAAGAAGCCACCTCCAAAGTTCCAAAGTAGGTATTTCAGGAATGTGATGGTCTTTTTTTTTTTTTTTTCCTTTTTCAAATTGGCAACAATTTGAAAAATCTTGCAGGTGAACCACATAGACTAGAAATATGGCAAAAATTAAGAAATGTTAGGTATGTCTTGAATGCATAAAATATATGTAGATACTAGTCTATGTGTTATTTGACTATGTTATTGGTAAGGCTTCTGGTCAACAGTAGACTATTAGCAGTCATGTTTTTAGGGAGTCAACATTTTTTTTTTTTTTGAGACAGGGCGTCACTCTGTTGCCAAGGCCAGAGTGTAATGGTTCGATCTCGACTCGATGCAACCTTGATCTCCTGGGCTCAAGCACTCCTCTCACCTTAGCCTACCAAGTAGTTGGTACCACAGGTGTGTGCCACCACACCCAGCTAATTTTTTGTACTTTTTATTTATTATTAATTAATGTATTTATTTTGAGACAGAGTCTCACTCTGTTGTCCAGTGCGGAGTGCAGTGGCATCATCTCGGCTCACTGCAACTTCCGCCTCCTGGGTTCAAACGATTCTCTTGCCTCAGCCTCCAGAGTAGCTGGGATTACAGGTGCCTGGCTAGTTTTTGTATTTTTAGTAGAGATGGGGTTTCATCACGTTGGCCAGGCTAGTCTCAAACTCCTGACCTCAGGTGATCTGTCTGCCTTGGCCTTCCAAAGTGCTGGGATTCCAGGCGTGAGCCACCTCGCCAGGCCTGAGTGTTGAAACTTATACTCAGAGTTTTTAATGCATGGCGGCTGGCTCCCTCAACACCCACACTGTTTAAGGGTCAACTGTATTTTTTATTGTTTTATTGTTATTTTTTTCATAAATATTTTTGATCCCTGGTTGGTTGATCTGAGGATGCAGAACTAGGGAGGGAACATGGCTACATGTTGTTGGGGATAAAAAGGTAAACGTGACTCTACTTTTTCTCTTGGAGCTTGAAATCAGCCTGTGAATATCTGAGTTGGTAGAGCTGGACGAGGTTACAGCTGAGCATAATTTTTGTTTCTAAAGGAGAGATAAAACCAAGTATCTCAGGAATCAAAAACAGCTATTAGGTACCCGTCGAAGGGATATTTGAGATCCTTAGGGTCCTCAGTCTTCTTTAAATGTATGTATATTTTTAAAATGAAACCAAGGTCATAAGTGTAATTAAAGGTACCCTAAAGAAATCACATTAGTTTTGAAATGATCATGAGGAATCTACAGCATTAACTTTAGGAAACTTCTTATAAAGCCCCAAGAGGTTTTACATTGGTTGTGTCTGTTGTTAATATGAGCTATTTAAGTGTATTTAAGGAGTGTAGTGACAAAGAGACACGTGGAAATAGCAAGATGTTTCTAGTGTGCTCCACCTTAAAGCCTTGTTCACTTTCTTTTTTTTTTTTCAGATGGAGTTTTGTTCTTGTTGCCCAGGCTGGAATGCAATGGCGCGATCTCAGCTCACTGCAACCTCTGCCTCCTGGGTTCAAGCGATTCTCCTGGTTCAGCCTCCTGAGTAGCTGGGATTACAGGAATGCGCCACCACACCTGGCTACTTTTGTATTTTTAGTAGAGATGGGGTTTCTCCACGTGCATCAGGCTAGTCTCACACTCCCGACTTCAGATGATCCACCCGCCTCGGCCTCCCAAAGTGCTGGGATTACAGGCGTGAGCCACCGTGCCTGGCCAAAGCCTTCTTCACTTTCATTTTGTGGCTGCTGTTGTGAAATCTGCAGAACCTCAAGCTGTTTGGACTCCATCTTCTAGGTTGAATTAGATTACAGGTAATCTCATGGTGGAGGTGTATTCTGGATCGACTCACTTTTGAAATGTTTATGAAAGAAATTCCTTCACCTCGGGACTTCCACACTGGAGCTGGCAATCAGTATCACCTTAATTTACCTATCACAGTGAGGCATCTCTGCTCTGAGGAAAACAAAACAAAACAAAACAAAACAAAAAAGAAGAGCTAATGGTTCTGTTTTGTTTTGTTGTTTTAGAGACAGGGTCTTGCTCTGTCGCCCGGGCTGGAATGCAGTGACATCATCACAGCTCACTGTAGCCTTGATCTCCTGGGCTCAAGCGATCCTTCTGCCTCAGCCTGAGTAGCTGGGATGGGACTACAGATGCACGCCACCACACATGGCTAATTTTTTTATTTTTTAGAGACGAGGTCCCATGTGAGCCACGGTGCCCCACCTTTTAAAGCAATTACCGTAAGGAAGCAACTGTCTTTAGCAAATAGAAGATCATAAACATCCTTCTGGAGATCTTGAGATGTTGACTGTGGTTTATAGGGCAATGAAAATCTACATACCTGAGTGGGGCAGTGAGACATGAGTGCCACCTATGATCCTTCCAGTGAGCAATTCTTTCTGGTGCCAGGAGCCCAAAGGAAACTCAGTCAACCAGCTGTAGATGGGCTTGTTCCGAGTTTGTTCTAGAAGTCAGAACTGCCAGCTCTGAAAGTAGGTCACAAGTGACTGGCCATCCCTGGGCTGCTCACAGGAAGTAGCTGCAAAGGTCAGGGAAAGTTTTTAATGACTATACAGGCCAGTGAATGACAGGCTTTGAGGAGCTTCTCTTCTTGGCATCTGAAACAGGCACATGGAGGAGCTGCCTTGGAGACAGAATGACAGCTGTGGCAATGTGAGCCTGATTCCTCAGCCCCATAAAATAGATGCCTTTGCAAAAAACCCATTTATTTTTTTTTTTTTCTGTTTTTGAGAGGGAGTCTCGCTCTGTCCCCCCAGGCGGAGTGCAGTGGCGTGATCTCGGCTCACTGCAACTTCTGCCTCCCGGGTTCAAGCGATTCTCCTGCCTCAGCTCCCAAGTAGCTGAGATTACAGGCATCCGCCACCACGCCTGGCCAATTTTGTATTTTAGTAGAGACGGGGTTTTGCCACATTGGCCAGGCTGGGAAAAAGCCCATTTCTATACAGAGGAATCATCTTGCAGGACTCAAGGAATGATTAAGAGGAATCTACAGCATTAACTTTAGAAACTCGATGCAATATTCCCAAGAGGAGTTAAGATTGGGATAAGTAATCTCTGAATTAATTTCAACCTTGAGATGTTGTGATCCTATGAAGTCAAAGACATATTTCTTTTTTCTTTGTTTGAGATGGAGTCTTGCTCTGTCACCCAAATTGGAGGGCGGTGATGTGATCTCGGCTTACTACGACCTCTGCCTCCTGGGTTCAAGCGATTCTCAGCTTCAGCCTCCTGAGTAGCTGAGATTACAGGTGCCCGCCACCATGCCCGGCTAATTTTTGTATTTTTAGTAGAGATGAGGTTTCACTGTGTTGGCCAGGCTGGTCTTGAATTCTTGGCCCCAGGTGATCTGCCCGCCTGGGCCTCCCAAAGTGCTGGGATTACAGGAGTGAGCACCATGTCCGGTCTAGATACATATTTCTATTAATACACATTTGCAGGGATTGTTTGTTACTGAAGTTGACGCCTTGTGCTTGAGAATGCTATTTCACTGACACAATTGTTATGGTATAAATGTGAGAGTATAGTTACAATCTGGACACTATTTTTTGCTTGTCTTATTGGCCCAGCAACCAGCTTGACACTGGGGACTATCAGGCTCCAAATAATAACCAATGTCTCACTCCAAACAGACAGGATACTACGGAGCCAGGGTCAGCAAACATTTTCTGTAAAGGGCCAGATAGTAAATATTTTGGGCTTTGTGGGCCCTATGGTCTCTGTCACAACGATTCAACTCTGCTGTTGTAACAAAAAAGCAGTCAGACAATATGTAAATGAATGGGCATGGCTGTGTTCCAGTAAAACCACAAAAACAGGCAGCTAGCTTTGGTGTGGGGCCCTAAGAGCTTGGACTTTGAAGCCAGGTTCAAATCCTGGCTTTCTCACCTTCTAGCTCCGTTACCTTAAAGAACTTCATTATCTTCCTTGTATTTTAGTCTTTTCATCTCTAAATTAGTGATAGTACTTAACAGTGTTGTTATAAAGATTAAACGAGTTAAGTTTGTAAAGTACTTAAACAGTGCCTACCAGGTAGTAAGTGCTATAGCAGAGTGTGTTAGATAATGAAACATCCTGTGCTGTGGATATATTATTCCCATTACGATTTGGATTCAAATAAAGAAATACATGACTTAGAAGAAGGCTACGACTTGAACTCAGTTTCCTCATCTCTAATATTAATACAATTGCACTTTTCTTATCAGAGGAAAAATCATCACATCGAAACACAGGGAAATTCCCCATGACAGCCTAGGAGTCAGGCCTTGGCCCCTAAAGCCAAAATCTTTTTTTTTTTTTTTTTGAGATGGAGTCTCACTTTCTTGCCCAGGATGGAGTGCAGTGGTGTGATCTTGGTTCACTGCAATATCCGCCTCTGGGGTTCAAGTGATTCTCCTGCCTCAGCCTCCCGAGTAGCTGGGATTACAGGCGCCCACCCCCACGCCCAGCTAATTTTTTGTATTTTTAGTAGAGATGGGGTTTCACCACATTGGCCAGGCTGGTCTCGAACCCCTGACCTCAGGTAATCTGCCCGACTCAGCCTCCCAAAGTGCTGGGATTACAGGCATGAGCCATTGTACCTGGCCAAGCCAAAATCTTAAAGGACTACTTGTATTTCTTCTCTCCCCACCCATACATGGAATTATTATACACAGCAGTGTGCTGGGGCTGGTGTGTATTGGCTCACTAATGCTGGCTATTAAATTTTCAGGAATTTGAGCCAGGCGTGGTGGCTCACGCCTGTAATCCCAGCACTTTGGGAGCCACGGTGGGTGGATCTTGTGAGGTCAGGAGTTCGAGACTAGCCTGGCCAACATGGTAAAGCCCCAATCTCTACTAAAAATACAAAAATTAGCTGGGTGTGGTGGTGGGCACCTGTAATCCCAGTTACTCAGGAGGCTGAGGCAGGAGAATCACTTGAACCTGGGAGGCGGAGGTTGCAGTGAGCCAAGATGGTGCCATTTTACTCCAGCCTAGGCGACAAGAGCAAAACTCCATTTCAAAAACAATAAAATAAATAAGTAACCATAAAAATTTTCAGGAATTTCGTGAAGCAGTAGGGAAACTCTTGGTAGCTTGAAATTGGCTGTGGTGGGAGCATTTACACCATGAAATTGGCAGGGGCCACACAGTCAGAGTTTTCAATCTCTTAGAGAACTAGGTTATCAGCACACTGGCCCGACGCCAGCAGTAAGCACTCCTCCAGGAGGGACCCCGTGTCCTGAATAGCTAGTTGGTAAACAATATTCAGTGGCACGTGAACTGCCACATCCTAGGGCATCATGACCTCAGAAAAATGCCAAGCGCATGCTTTTGCCTCATGGCAGAGGCAAACAGTTTTTACATGCTTTGTTTAGAGACAGAAACAAGTCAGTGATGGCCATGGACTGTGATTTGTAGACATCTGACTTAACAGTCCTGCTCTCTGTTCCCATTCCAGTACACACACACACACACACTGGCCTGCATAGGTCAAGCTAAATAGGAACTGAATGGCTTAGGAGGCACTAAAAGAAAGAGAGATAGAGCTTGTTGGGCAAACATCATAATCATAATCAAAGTACTTTCTTTTCTTTTTTTGAGATGGAGTCTCCCTCTGTCGCCCAGGCTGGAGTGCAGTGGCATGATTTCGGCTCACTGCAGCCTCCACCTCCCAGGTTCAAGCAGTTCTCCTGCCTCGGTCTCCCAAGTAGCTGGGATTACAGGCGCCTGCCATCATGCCTGGCTAATTTTTGTATGTTTAGTAGAGACAGGGTTTCGCCATGTTGGCCAGGCTGGTCTCAAACTCCCAACCTCAGGTGATCCACCTGCCTCAGCCTCCCAAAGTGCTGGAATTACAGGCATGAGCCACTGCGCACAGCCTCAAAGTACTTTTAATGGACAGTTTTTCTAGGAAAGGCAATGAGTGCTGTGTTTGTTTTGTTTGCTTGTTTTGCCATTTTTTAATGGCAAAAGGTCTTCATAATCTAAACATGTGACCTCTAACCTTTTGTGGAGGCAGCAGAGGGAATACAAACAAGGGCTGAACTCAGTCAGAGATTCTTAGATAAGACACTCCCTCTTGTGAAGTTGTGAATCTCATTTTTCTTCTCTATAAAAGGAGAATCAAAACAATTCCATTGCTAGTCTGACATCGTGGTTGTGAAAATCAATGTTAACTTGTTCTCCACTTACTCAGCATACTTTCTGACTACCGCTGTGTGCTGTGAGGGGCTGAGGATCCAGATGTGGCTGAGGAAGGTCCTGGCTCATGAGGAGGTGGAAGTCTGGGTGCTTAAACAGATAATCCAGAGTTTTGATGCGAGATGAACTCATTCTGGTGAATCACTCTGGCTTCATTTGGTTATAGTGGTCAAGAGTTTGGCCCTGGAGCAAAGTGTCTGGGTTTGAATCCTGGCTGTGCTTTCGGGTGAGTTATTGAACACCTCTTTTTCCATTCTGTAAAATGGGATTTTTAAGCTTTCCTCAATTTGTAAGCAGAAATAATCTTCCTCAATTTGTAAGCAGAAATAAGCTTTCCTCAATCTGTAAACAGAAATAATAGTACCTCCTTCCTAGAATTGTTATAAAGGTTAATGAGATCATATATGTAAAGTTTCTTCGTCTATGAAAATGAACAGAATAGTCACTACTACTTTTAGTGTTGGCATCGTTGTGATGATTAAATGAGATAACATATGAAAGTATTCAGAACCTTAGGAAAAAAACATGAATAAGGTAGACTCATGGAAAACAAAAACACTAAATAGGTGCTTATTCAAGGTTGTAAATGCAGTGAGACAAATATGCACTAAAGAGGGATTCTTTTTGTTTTGTTTTTTGAGATGGAGTCTTGCCAGGCTGGAGTGCAGTGGCGTGATCTCAGCTCACTGCAAACCTCCACCTCCGGGTTCATGCGATTCTCCCACCTCAGCCTCCTGAGTAGCTGGGATTATAGGTGCCTGACATCACACCTGGCTAATTTTTGTATTTTTGGTAGAGACGGGGTTTCATTATGTTGGCCAGGCTGGTCTCGAACTCCTGACCTCAAGTGATCCACCTGCCTCGGCCTCCCAAAGTGTTGGGATTACAGGGGT
This sequence comes from Homo sapiens, assembly GCF_000001405.40. Classification (NCBI taxonomy): domain Eukaryota; kingdom Metazoa; phylum Chordata; class Mammalia; order Primates; family Hominidae; genus Homo; species Homo sapiens. The sequence goes on along the minus strand of NC_000003.12, from coordinate 194,493,382 downwards.
GAGCCGTGCGCTCAGCTAAAGAGGGATTCTTAGCCTGGGAGTCAGGGAAGGCATTTAGAGATGATATCTGAGATCGTAAATTCATTCATTCAGTCATCCATCAGGTGCAAACATTTGAGTGTCTATCACATGCCAGGCTTCATCTAGTGCTGGGTCTACAGTGATAAGCCAAACTGACTTATTCTTTACCAGTAGCAGCACAAAGAGATGGTTTGGGTGGGGATGGGGGATTTTTTTTTTTTTTTTTAAGAGCTGAGATCTCACTATGTTGCCCAGGCTGGAGTGCAGTGGCACAATCATAGCTCACCATAAACTCAAACTCCTGCGCTTAGGCAATCCTAGAAATCCTCCCACCTCAGCCTCCCAAGTAGCTGGGACTACAGGCACCTGCCACTGTGCCCGGGTGAGAAGGATATTTTATGTGCCTGTTTCCCATAATCCCAAAAGTCCTTCTCACATTTACAAAAATAAACAACCATTATTTTTTCAATCTTACATAAGTGTCATACAACCACAGCCTTGAGATAAATACAATAACAACACAATAAAAATACTATACATAAAAATATGTTTGCATAGAATTTACATCGTATTATAAGTAATCTAGAGATGATTTAAAGTATAGATCACGGGTTGTGGTGGCTCATGCCTGTAATCCCAGCACTTTTGGAGGCTGAAGCAGGTGGATCACCTGAGGTCAGGAGTTCAAGACCAGCCTGGCCAACATGGTGAAACCCTGTCTCTACTAAAAATACAAAAAATTAGCTGGGCCTGGTGGCGGATGCCTGTAATCCCAGCTACTTGGGAGGCTGAGGCAGGAGAATTGCTTGAACCCAGGAGGCGGAGGTTGCACTAAGCCAAGATCATGCCATTGTACTCCTGGGTGACCCAACGAGACTCTGTCTCAAAAAAAAAAAAAAAAGTACACAGGAGGATGTATATAGGTTATATGCAAATACTATACCCTTTTATCCAAGAAACTTGAGTATTTTTGGATTTTGGTATCCACAGAGGTTCTGAAACCAATTCCCTGTAGATATCGAGGGACAACTGTATATGCATTTAAGCCCAAAGTTGAACTTATAAGTTAGTCAGGCAAGAAAAAAAGGGAAGGGAAAGAATAGATTGTACAAAGACCGTGAGTCAGGAAAGAGGTTGGTGCGTTTGAGGAATTGAAAGAAGGCCTAGTGTAGCTGGAGTAACTTGGGGAAGGGGTCTGCGGTGAGAAGACGGGGAGAGCAGAGGAGTGCCAGTGGAGGGGGAAGTGGTGGGCAGGTTACATCCTGCACTGGACTTTGTGGACCCAAGAAGTTCATCTAGTATTCCAAGTGAGGTGGGAAGCAAGTGAAAGCTTTTATCAGCAGCTCTGCTTGAAGTCACATAAACTAATACTCTGGCTGCTGTGTGATAATGCACTGGAGGTGGGCAAGGGCAAAAGCAGAGGAACCCACTGGGAGCGAATGCACTAGTGCCAGGTGAGAGATGAGGGGGCATGCCAGGTGAGAGATGGAGGAGGCATGCCAGGTGAGAGATGAGGGGACATGCCAGGTGAGAGATGAGGGGGCATGCCAGGTGAGAGATGAGGGGGCATGCCAGGTGAGAGATGGAGGGGACATGCCAGGTCAGAGATGGAGGGGGCATGCCAGGTGAGAGATGGAGGGGACATGCCAGGTGAGAGATGAGGAGGCATGCCAGGTGAGAGATGAGGGGGCATGCCAGGTGAGAGATGGAGGGGACATGCCAGGTCAGAGATGGAGGGGGCATGCCAGGTGAGAGATGGAGGGGACATGCCAGGTGAGAGATGAGGAGGCATGCCAGGTGAGAGATGAGGGGGCATGCCAGGTGAGAGTGGAGGGGACATGCCAGGTGAGAGATGGAGGGGGCGTGCGAGGTGAGAGATGAGGGGGCATGCATTATTCTAGTGGCAGTGAAATGGAGCAATGGGGAAGGATTTGAAATGGACTTGGTGTTGGATTGGATGGGGTGGTGAAGGAGAGGGAGGTGTAAAGAATGACTCCCAGGTTTTGGGCTTCAGCAGTTGTTTGGGTGACAGCGTCTTTGCTAAGGTCAGGAGGCCCAGGAGAGAGGAGCTGATTTGGGGAAGAAAGGCAAGAGTTAAGTTTGGGATAAGTGAACTTATCTGGCACCAGTGAAACCCCATGTGAAAATGATAGGGAGGAATGGCCAAGGGACTCTGAGGAGTGGCCTGGGCTGCAGGCATATGGTTGACATTCTTTTTGAGATAGAGTCTTGCTCTGTCATCCAGGCTGGAGTACAATGGTGCCATCTCAGCTCACTGCAGCCTCTGCCTCCTGGGTTCAAGTGATTCTCCTGCCTCAGCCTCCCAAGTAGCTGGGATTACAGGCGCACGCCACCACGTCTGGCTAATTTATGTATGTTTAGTGGATGGGGTTTCACCATGTTGGCCAGGCTGATCTCAAACTCCCAACCTCAGGTGATCCGCCCGCCTCGGCCTCCCAAATTGCTGGGATTAAAGGCGTGAGCCACCATGCCCAGCCTCAGTTTACAGTTATTAATGTACATGCAGATGACAGCTATAGCCATAGTAGATGAGGCCACCAGGGGAGAGCATGTGGATCAGTCCTCTTATCTTTTTTGGGGGACCCAGACACCTTTGAGAAGCTGCTAAAAGCTCCACTTCTTCCTTTAAAAGTATTTGCATCCAAGTTTAAGGAGCTTATAGATCCTTCTGAAGCCCATCCACAACTCTTGTAAGGTCAAGAGATGTCAAATTAAAAACAAACAAACAAACAAAAACACAACAAACCTTGTGTAGACACAGGAATGGATCCTGGGTTGAGCCTTGGGGAACAGCAACATTTAGAGAAGGACAGAGGAAGCACCTGCGGAGGCTGAGATGGAGTAGACAAAGAGAAACAGGGAGGAGGAATTCCAAAATAGAGTATGTTATCAAAACTAACAGCAAAGTGTCTCAAGGATAGGAGATGCATGCTGCTGAGAGAACTAGAAAGATAAGGCCTGCAAAGTGTCCTCCGGATTTGGCAACAGTAATATTTTGGGGAGGCCTAGCCCCTGGAGTTGGCCTAACAGTGGTCATTTTGTGGAGAGCTAGCTCTGTTAGGAGGAGGCTTTGCCTCTCTGGAGTGGGAAAATAGATCCTGGGGCCGATGTAGGATGATGCGCAGATTTGCGGGTGGGAAGATGAGGATTTTTCCTCTTGATGGTGTATGTTTTCTTAGTGAAATAGGAAGTAAGGGGACAGTGAGAGGGAAGGGCATGCAAAGATGGGGGTTTTGAGGATGAAGAAGATGCAAAATAGCCTTTCTGAGAAGTGACGTCAGACCTTACTGGTATGACTGTTACCTCCATGCAGCTGCAATCAGGGTTGGTGCTTACAGTGAGTAGGATCAGAGGGGGGAAGCAGTGGGCTTGGACCCAGAATCATCATGACTTGAGAACCAGTAAGTCTTCCAGGACTTCTCCAGACTGTTCCACTCCCTTTCTCTCGCCTATCTTGGGTTTCTCCTTTTTTCTTGCACCTTCTTTTCCCTCAACCCATAAACATGCTCAAGCCTTTCCTGGTGACTCAGCACTTCCTCTAAAGCCAGTGTCCAAATTCCTTTTTTCACCATTCTCAAAACATCTGTAACAGAAAAGTTTTTGGAATATCCAACTGCTTTTCTCTTTTTCCTATAGCTTTCCCTTGACTGGCTGTATGTTGCCTTACTTTGGCTGCACCTCGAATTCTGGGGCTCTTTGTGATCTTTTAAAAGCCCGAACGCGTTGACAGGTTCATGCTGGGTAGCTTGGAGGTATACACTGCAGCCAGAAGCCTAGGGAAACTCTTAGGATTTTAAATGGAGTGCATTGTAGTTCACTCTGAAGGCTGAATTTGTCTAACAATTCAGGCTGGAAAGGATGGATGCCAGTGGGAACCACCGTAGGAATTTTTTTTTTTAGATGGAGTTTTGCTCTTCTTGGCCAGAGTGGAGTGCAATGGCGCAATCTCAGCCCACTGCAACCTCCATCTCCCAGGTTCAAGCGATTCTCCTGCCTCAGCCTCCCAAGTAGCTGGGATTACAGGCATGTGCCACCACGTCCAGCTAATTTTGTATTTTTAGTAGAGATGAGGTTTCACCATGTTGTCAGGCTGGTCTTGAACTCCTGACCTCGTGTGATCCACCAGCCTCGGCCTCCCAAAGTGCTGGGATTACAGGCATGAGCCACTGCGCCCAGCCCACCATAGGAATTTGAGGCTTATTAAGGAGGTGAAATAGATAGGACTTGGTGATTGGGTAAGGCAGAGGGCTGAATTAAGAATGACTCACTCATTCCCAACTTTCTAATTCTGATGACTGTGGAGATGGTGGTGCCAACAGCTGAGGGAGGGGCAGCTATGAAAGCAGAGAATGAGTTCAGTTTTGGAAATGTCCAGTTTGGGGTGTCTGTGATATCTAGCTAGAGCTGCCTGGCAGGCAATTGGATATTTGGTTCTAAATTTTGTGGAAGGGGTCTGGGTTGGAAATTGCTAATTTGGGAGCTGCATCCATGAGGATGCAGGCAATCCCAGAAGAATGAGTGAAGTGAGCAAAGTTGTTGGCTTAGAGTGGAATCCTGAATTTAAGGTGCAGATTCACAAGTAGATGTTACCAAGGAGGCAGAGGCTTTACTTACCTTCATGTGATAATCCAGAGGGTTCACTCTTCTGAAACCAAGGTAGTAGAGAGATTCCAGAAGGTGAGAGTCATCCCAAGGTGTCAAATGTAGCAGAAAGAACCAGAGAGATAAGGCCTGAGGAATGCCTGCAAGGTTTGGCAAAATGAAAGTCATGAGTTGCTCTTGCCTGAGCAAGGTGAAGGGTTAGAGTTGGGGAGGAGAAGCCAGAATGCCAAGTGTTGAGAAATGAGGAAGCAGAGGCAGCCAGGGAAGACCATTGTTTGAGGTCCGCATGAAACACTTGGAAGCTAGTTGGAGGGAGCACTTCAGGAGGAGGTTGGCTTGATAATTTTGTTTTTAGGACTTGGAGAGGCCAACCTGTTTAAAGGCTGAGAGGAAGCAGCAAGGCAAGGAAGCCTGGGAGGTGGGGGAGGAAGATTTTAGGGCCAGACCCCACCCAGACCGTTTTCTTGTGGTTTGCCCAACACTACCACACACCCCTTAATCTCATTTAATCATTTCAACACCACGAGGTTTGAAACAAACGGTGAGGTATGAAACAAAACGGTGAGGCCAGGGATTGGGAAGAGAAAGCTGTGGTTCCATCTCGGTCCAGCGTGCTGTCCACGCCAAGAGGCGGGCAGAAATGCTAGCCTCACACAATCTAGGGGACCAGGGGTGGCTGTGGCGCCCTCCTGCCCGCAGGAGGTGTTATCAGTGTCGCGGACTCGGGCGGTGTGCTGCCCCTGGTGAGATGTCATCACGTGCGTGGACCAGGGGTGGCGGCCCTGGTAAGTGTCCAGGGACTAAGGGCTCCCTGCTCTCCAGGTGTGGTGGACGGGGTCCGCATGCATGCCGTCCTCTTCTCTAAGACGCTAAGGCGGCTGAGTTCTGTAAGTAGCGGCAAGAAGAACAGTCACGGAGCGGGCCGGGCACAAAGGGCGCAGGCCAGGTGGCCCCAGGCGGAAAGATGGCCGCAGCCAGAGGCTGCAGGTGGCCGGGCGCGCTCCCTGCGCGCGTCGCGGAGAGGACGCAGCGAAAATCAAACCCGCGATTTGGAAATCCGGCTGCGGCCCTACCCCGAGATAAGTCTTCTGCGGAGGGAAGTATTTAATTTGCATCCAGGACGGTCGGAAGAGGCGCCTTCCCGTCGGAGGCGAGGCGCGGGCGCGTGGGAGCTTTCTCGTGTGCGCTCCTCCCTGTCCTCCGCCTGCGGCCGGGGCGCAGAGTCCGTGGTCATATGAGAATGACAGTTTTTTGTCTGTTTGTTTTGGCGGGGGCGAGGGTGGCTAAAGGAATGAAAGAGCCTTGCATTAGGAGCTGGGCTCTGGTTTCCTCTCCACCATTCTAGCACAAGCTTCCTCCATGACCATGACTCTGGGCAACGTCTGTCTAGTCACTGAGCCTCAGTTTCCCTGTTCATAAAATGGGAGATTGGACTATGATGTTGTCATAGCCCAAAGGGGATGAAGTGGGATTTGCCGTTCCATTTCATCCCACCAGAAAAGCCGCCCTCCATTAGCCACCCCGGGCTGACACCCAGCGTTTTTGGACGGCCTCGCCTCCCCTTACCTGCCTCTTTCTTTCTTTTGCCCGTTCGAGGGTGGCAAAGGCGATGGGTGGGCGGGGCCTATAAATCGCCCCGCCCCTCCCCGCCCCTTCCCCGCCTCCTGACGTCGCCCGCGCCCCTCCGCCCTCCGCGCGGGGATGAAGCCACCACGTGACCTCACATCCGGCGCGGGAGTCCTGAGCCCGCGCGCGCTCCCCCGCCTGCCTGCCGGCTCTCCCCGCAGCGTGATCGGGCGCCGCCGCGGAGGGGAGGGGGGTTCTCTACGTCGCTGGCGGCGGGGGGGCCGTTTCGGAGTGCAGACCGCCCCCCTCCCCTGCCCACCTCCCGCCGCCCTCCCTTGTTCTCGCCCTGCCGGCTGCACGCCGCCGCCGCGGGCGCGGAGGAGGAGGAGAGCGCGGACGTCCCAGGGCCGGCCCGGCCCCGCCGCGGCGCCTCCTTCCCTCACCCTGAGCCGCAGCGCGCGGCGCCGGCCGAGGGCGATGGGGCTGGGCTGAGGCGAGGCGGCGGCGGCGACAGCGGCGGCCGGGTCCCCCGCGGTCCCTGGGGCTGGTCCGGCCGCGAGGGAGGCCGCGGAGGAGGCGGCGCGGCGGCGGCCAGTGAGCGGCCCCGGTGAGCGGGGCGAGGGGCGGGTGGGCAGCGGCGCCGGGGGAGGTCGAGGAGGCGAATGGTGGTGTCGGGGCGGCGGGTACCGGGCGAGGTCGCGGCCAGCCTTCTCGGGCCGGAGTTGGGCATCGCGGGGACGGGGAGTGTCGGGGGCAGGTGAGGCCAGGGCAGGAGCCCACGCGGTGGGTGCGAAGGCCTGGGGGGGACGCGCCGCCTGCCGGGGGCGAGCGTGGGGGCCGGGCGCTTGGTGGTTGGTAGTCAGAGCTTTCGGAAAGTCCTGTGGGAGGTGGAGGTCCTGTGGGCAGAGGCGTAGGGGTGCTGGCAGGGCCCTCGATGAGTCTGTGCGGGACCCTAGCTCGTCCTCAGCCGTGGAGTATGGAGCTGCTTGCCATCTCCGCATTTCACAGATAAAAGGAGTGAGTCCCGTGGAGGAAAAGTGACTTCTGACTTGCCTGAGGCCTCCCACTCGGACTCTGTGGCAGTGAGGACTAGAAAAACCCAGGGCCCTTTGCCCTAGCAGTGCTCTCGTGGCCACTCTCGCTATGGCCTTTCTGTCTCTCCATTCCCTTCACAGAGTCAGGTTCTGGTGGAAGTATGACCTCTGGCTTTTTTGGGGAGGTGAGGGGTAGGGATGAAGGGGGAGGGAATCGGGTTGGGATTGGCAGGAACTCAGCTGGGGGCTTCCCGGTGTGGAAGAAGCTTTGTGACAGGTGTTTATTGTTTCCTCTTCCCATAGATCTGACAGACATCCCTGAATCTTGGTGTTTGGACATAGGAGGTATGAATCACTCACATAATTAGCCGCTTTTAATCATCAGTGTCTTAGAGCTATATTTAGTGGTTATATTAGTGCAAAATGAATGGGTGTGGAGTCGTACACCTAGAAACAGACTTGTGTTCCTCTATACGATTCTAACTAAATGAGTAGAACATACCTGGGTATGTCATGGCTACTTTAGATCTATGAGGCAGGAAGTTAGAATTTAAGGAATCTAAGAAATGCAGGGACTTGAAAGATTATTGCAAAATAAAGCCTTTAAAAAGTATCGTTGTTAAAATGAAAGTGTTTCGATTTGATTCCTTTGAAGGGTGAGTACGTAATGAACAGTGCTCTATCTTTGGTTAGAGCTCAGCCTCTTTACCAAGGTACATGTATTAATTTTGTTTCACTGGAATATATGTGACATTATTTTCTCTAGAGGTTTGTTGCTTTGCTTAATAGACTACAGTTGCCAAAAATCAATGTGTGTGGGCATCTCATCCTGGTTTGCAACCCCTTTAAGGCAAATCAGTGCTTGGAAGTTGTTCGAAGTAGTAAACCTATTATTAATGATTGTTGTAGAACATAACTTTTGCTGGTATCTTTGATTTGCATTATCCTACCATTAGATCAGGCAGAGAGTGAAATAATTGAGATTTTGAGCCTTGTTAGAACAACAATGCCTGGCTTTGGTCAGGGGATTGGGTAGGAAAAGTGACACTATTTGGTTGCTTTAAATTTTTTTTTTTTTTTTTGAGATGGCATCTTGCTCTGTTGCCCAGGCTGGAGTGCAGTGGTGTGAACTCGGCTCACTGTAACTTCTGCCTCCTGGGTTTCAGCGATTCTCCTGTCGCAGCCTCCTAAGTAGCTGGGATTTCAGGTGTGTGCCACCACGCCCAGCTAATTTTTTGTATTTTTAGTAGAGACAGGGTTTCACCACGTTGGCCAGGCTGGTCGTGAACTACTGACTTCAGGTGATCTTCCTGCCTAGGCCTCCCAAAGTGCTGGTATTACAGGCGCTAGCCACCGAGCTTGGCGGTTGATACTTACATAGTTAGTTTAGGTCACCAAATATACAACACACAGAATCCGCTTTGGATAAACCACATTATCGAGCTCATTTTGAAATCCTATTTCTGTCTTCAAGATTTTCGAGATTATAAACCACTTTGTTGTCATTCACAAGTATAAAGTTCTTATTTCCAACATCACTGAGACTGAGAAAAAAGACAGAATAAAGATAAAGTTCCATAGGGCGTCCCCATCACTGCTTATTCTCACTGAGTTTGACCATTGAGTAGGTTGTATATCCATAGTAATATGATATAGTGCCTATGTCCTAAGATTACTATTTATCTTAGGAATAAAGCATATTCATATTCTAAAACCTCATATTCACAGTAGTTACAAAACCACCACGTTATACAAGCATAGTTTGATTCAATATATGGAATGGAAGAAGGAAAGAAACCATTATGTGCCAGGAAAAGTGCTCCTTTCTTTACATATGGTCTCAACTAATCCTCAACACTTTCAGGTAACAATATTCTTCTTTGTTAAAAAAAAAATTAAAGAAGTTAAGGAGCTTACAGTATAAGCGACTTTGAAGACAGACAGAAACCTAGCTCTGTGTTAATGTGCTTAACACAGAGGTTTCTGTCTCTGGGTTTATAAGGTTAGTTGTATGTGACTAGGCAACATAACATCTCTGAACCTCAGATTCTGGTGATAAATCAGATATGTCATCTTAATAGGTGTCACACACTAGATCACCTTCTTTTAGCACACAACTGTGAACTGTTTTGACTGTTTTCTTTGATAGGTGATAAGCTGCCAACTCCTATTCCATTTATCATCCATTCAAATATAGCTCAGTTTAACTCTTAGATATGTTGTACTCATCCTTTTCTCCCTTCTCTCTCCCTCCTTAGAATCACATTTCTTATTTTTTAAAGTTTTAAAAACATTTTTTAATACTGCTTCTTGCAGAACAGGGCTGCTCGATAGGCAGTGTGCCTGGAGTAGCCAGAAGAAATTAGAAATTAAATTTCTTCTTGGTGTTACCTCTGAATGTATTCTGAATATGCCATATCTCATCTGGATCCAAGAGGTAGCTGATGGGATTTAGCCTTGGTTTTGGAACATAGTTTTTGTGAAAATGAAGCTAATTGGCCTATGGAGAGAGTAAATCTGTAGTCGTCAAAACCATGTTGAGTTTTTTTGAGATAGGGTCTTGCTCTGTCTCCCAGGCTGGAGTGCAGTGGCTCTGTCATGGCTCACTGCAGCCTTGACCTTCTGGGCTCAAGCAGTCCTCCCACCTCAGCTTCCAGAGTAGCTGGGACCACAGGTGTGCACCATCACACCCAGCTAGTTTTTTTTTTTTTTGTAGAGGTGGGTTTTCACCGTGTTGCCCAGGCTGGTCTCAAACTCCTGAACTGAAGCAGTCTGCCTGCCTTGGCCTCCCAAAGTGTTAGGGTTACAGGCATTTATCACTGCACCCCGTCCTTTTTTCTTTTTTTTTCCCCCCAGAGAAAGAGTCTCGCTCTCTCACTCAGGCTAGAGTGTAGTGGCACGATCATGGCTCACTGCAGCCTTGAGTTCCTGGGCTCAGGCGACCTTCCTGCCTCAGCAACAAGGGTAGTTGGGACAACGGGTGTGTGCCATCATGTCTGGCTAATTTAAAAAAAAATTTTTTTTTTTTTTTTGAGACGGAGTCTTGTACTGTCATCCTGGCTGGAGTGCAGAGGCGCGATCTCCGCTCACTGCAACTTCCGCCTCCTGGGTTCAAGCGATTCTCCTGCCTCAGCTTTCCGAGTAGCTGGGATTACAGGTGCCCACCACCATGCCTGGCTAATTTTTTGTATCTTTAGTAGAGACTGGGTTTCACCATGTTGACCAGTCTGATCTTGAACTCCTGACCTTGTGATCCGCCTGCCTCGGCCTTCCAGACTGCTGGGATTACAGGCGTGAGCCACCACGCCCGGCCTTTAAAATTTTTTTGTAGAGATGAGTATCTCGGTTTGTTGCCCAGGCTTGTCTCAGAACTCCTGGCCTCAAGTGATCCTCCTGCCTCAGCCTCCCAAAGTGTAGGAATTACAGACATGAGCCACCTTGCCCAGCCAAAACCATGTTCTAATTAACCACTTAAGTTCAAATAGCATGCAAGAAGCAAGGAAATTGTTAGGTTCTCGTTTGAGTTTTGTTGAACATCATATTTTGAGAGTAGAGAAGTAAGAGAGGCTCAGATTTCTGGCACATAATTTTAATTAAGATTTAGGTTTAAAAAAATGAAAAAGTTCTGGGCTCAAATTAATCTGGAGAAAAGTAGATATTTGTAAGGTAGAAGAAGGTCCACAGTTAATCAGTTATCACTAGATAACTAGTGATTATAAAAGGAGTTAAAACGATTTGTGTTAGTAGGTTATGCACAGTGACTCATGCTTGAAATCCCAGTGCTTTGGGAGGCCAAGGCAGGAGGATGGCTTGAGGCCAGGAGTTTGAGACCAGCCTGAGTGACAAAGCAAGACTTTGTCTTAAAACAACCAAAAATAATTTGTATTAATCAGGTTAAAAATAGAGGTAAAATGAGATGACATGAGTAAATGGTAATTGGAAAAAATGATCACTGTTATGATAGTTTAAAAAATGACTTTATGGTAATCAGTAAGAAGGGAGAAAAACGGAATAAAGGAGAGAACTGTCCAAATAAGTGTCTGACACTGAGGAAGGTTGTTTGAGGATGGTGATTGCTGAAAAGTTTCCATAAAATGATTCTCTAGAGGGAACTATGCCAATACCATATCTGTTAACATCTTAGACCCACAGGGTCATATTGGAACCTTTGCTAGAGTCTGAGATGGTAAAACATTAACTCGAATAGTAAACGTCAAGACCGCAAAATTAATCTGTTAATCAGAATTTTGTCTTTTTTGTTGATTCTTACACTTACTCCCTGTGGATCTTGGTTTTAAATGATCAATTGACACTCAGAGACTAGTTAGATAAGAAATTAAATTTCCAGAAAAAGTCACTTAAGTATGTAAAGTAGAATTTCCTAATTATGTGGTCTGGAAATTGCTGATGTCTACAGAATCTTTCTCAAGTTTGAAGTAAAAATACTTGTAACTGATGTTGGGTGGTAAGGTGAAAGATGGTTCTAGCTCAGTGAGTTTTTCTTATTTTTTTTTCACAAAGGAGTTGAACATTGAAATAAAGAGGTGTGAGACTGGAAAATAATGCGGAGAGATCATGGATTATTTAGATTAGTGCCTTTTTAGAGAAGAGGAAAGTGAAGTAAGTGACAGCATAAAGGATCCTTTATGGTCTAACCCCAGATCCTTTCTCTAGCTTGGGTGTTCCTTTCACCCTTGCTTTAATTTTGTACTCTGTAGTAATGGCACATCTCAAAACTTTTGCATTTTTTTTTTCCAGTGAGAGCCAACTTTTAAGGGTTGCCTTTGCTTGCTTGACAGACTTCTTGAAACAAACTATTTTTAGTTTGTTTAAAATGAGTCATGGAATTGCTCCCACATATGTGTCTAAGGGTGGTTTCTTCATAGCATCCCTGTTGCTCTGTTTTTTTTTTTTTCCATTTGTGAAATAGGATGAAATATATTTTAGTTATTTATTTTGATATAAAAGACAAGTGTTTTGGGTCCTGATTTTTTTCTGATTGATCTAAAGAGCTGAATAAAGTGCAATCACTGCTCATGGGGCCTTTGGGCCTAAATTCTCAGATAAAAATCCTGTGTAGTCAAAATTACCCTTGGAAAAAGTCTTTTAAAAAGGCACCAGTTTGAAAACTGGTTGGAAACTGACATTCTGTCTTTCAATTCTAGTGTCCAGTTTTTCCTGTAGTTTTAGAGAGGTCCCTTTTTTGGTGAGCTGGAATCCTCACCAGCTGTGTGAGACCGTTTTGACAGGTGAATGGGTCTTAGATTGACTGAGCATAGCGGATTTATAGTCTTCATTTCATGCTCACTCTGGGACAGGGATGTAAAGGAAGGCATACTATCATCATTATTCAAATTATTTTTCTCTGTTGCTTCCCCCCAGAGTGTAAGTAGTTGAATTGGTTTTAATTAAGTGCATATATGATGTGACTCCACAGTGTGAATAATGGAGAAATAACTTAGGTATTTATGAACATCTGCTATCTCCGTAAGGTTATGCCACAAAAAGATCTAGTATAATTAAAAGGCTAGGTAATAAAGTTGAGAATATTAGGAGATTATTGGTACTGTCTGTCATTCTGAGGGGATACTCAACTACTTTGAGTGTTTTTGTTTTGTTTTTTTAAAGAATAAATTTATTCCTTACTGCTAGCAAGATCTGCATTGTTTTAAAAGAGCGATGTAAATTATTAATGGATTCCATGAAATTTAAAGTATCTAAACTTAAGTATTACTCTGGGGATAGCACAGTAAGAAAACATGAGTATGTAAAAACATGATGGTGGCTAAAAACTTAACAGTCTTATGTCCTGGGAGAGGGCATGGTGTATTGGATAAAAATGTGGGCTTCAGAGCCATAGTGATTTTGAATTACAGCTCTGTCACATACCAGTCTTGTAGTCTGGGTTAAGTAAGTCACTGAACCTCTGAGAGCTTTTTTATTTGCCAGATAGAGGTGATAAAGGGTACCTTAGAGAATTGTAAGGATAAGAGTCTGAGTGAAGGGTAACTTATTATTTGTTAACTTAGTAACATTGAAGATATTCAAAACAAGTCAGATGTGTGTGTGGGGTGTGATTGATGATTGCTCTTTGTTTTTTTGTTAACTGGAACAGCAGGCAATAATGTTATATTCAGGCTTTTTATGTCCAAAACAATCTATGATTTTGTATCTTTAGTAGCAACATCCTCAAAAGCTCAAGATGTTAACCTCATGTATCTCCGATATACATTTTATGTATATTTTAGTTTTTCTCTTTGTGTCTCTGGTGTGTTTGCAGTCTGTTTTCTCTCCCATCTTGTTACTGTTACCCAATGTCTCTGTCTCTGACCACCTTATAAAATTTAAAACTATCTGTAATTGTATTTATTTTATAGGACTTTATATGCATTATTTTCATTTAAAAATTCTGATTAGTCAAATATTTCTACTTTTTTTTTAAAGAAGACTTTGAATTATATTTCAATTTTGTGACCTTTAGATTTCTTTAAACATGGAATCCTAGTCACTGGTTCCTTATAGACCGAAGATTTTTCTTTTTTTTAAATTTTATTTTATTTTACTTTATTTTTTTAGACCAAAGATTTTTCATTCATCTCTAGATCATGCCTTAGCTTCTTAAGTCACCAGTTTTCTAAGCTCATTTACAATTTTCATCTGTAGTTTCCTTGTTTCTCCTTTTTTTAATGTTTATGTTTCTAATTTTCCTAAGCACAAAAGATAGAAACCTATTTAATGCTAATTATAATAAGTAGATTAGTATACTAAGTAAAATGTAAAGTACAATAGGCAAATGACATAATTTTGTCTGTAGCACTTACTTGAAAGACTAGACTAACCTAGCACACGCTTAATTGAAATATTTAATGGGTCTTTTTGATATGAAAATGTACTTTTCATAATTGTCAGCACTGCCTTAGAGTTAGTTGAAGAATAATTTTAAGCTAACCCATGGTTTTCTGTTCAGTGTTTGATGAAGAGAATAGAATAAGCTCATTAATTTAGTCAGATTCAGAAGCATCTTAAAGAGTACCCCCCGCCCCAATCCTTTCTAATCTCTGGTGCGGCCCATAGTGACTCACTATTCTTCATGTTCCCTTAATAGTTGTGGCAATGATAAGTTATTGTAGTGTATAAGAGTTGTGATTTTATAGGTAGCAAGGAAGGGGGCTTGGTTAGGGCCTCTTGGTTATGCCTTTAGGACTGTGTTGGTACTTCTAACTATTTAATAGTGTTTTAGTTCCTGTACATGCCAAACACAGGGCTGGATGCTGGGGAGACATCGATGAATGAGTTCTTCTCTCTTACACATACACAGTCCAGCAGGTAAACACTGTGCTGTTGCATTGCACAAGTCCAGAGGATACCATTCACGTTGTATTCTTCAGGAATATGGCTCCTTGGCCTGGCCTAGGATCTCTTTCAGGTGACAAAAGTTCAGAATCTCCATCACCTACAAGATAATCTGTATTGTTTATCATGTCTAACAAGACCCTTCCTTATAATCTGATCCTGTCCTATCCTTCTAAACCTCCATTTGTAATTATTCCTCAAAGGCTATCACCCCGTGCACCAGTCAGTTTAAATAACTTGTTTTCCTGGCATTTTTTAGGATCTCTCACTATAGTACCTCTGCATGTGGCAGTTCCCCTGCTTGGGTTTCATCTCTCTATTTTCTCCCTAACATTTTTCCTCTTACTGCTTGTTTGCTTGATCAAGTTTACATCCTTCTGGTCTTAGATCAAGAGATAGTTCTTTTTTGAAGTCTTTTCTGTTCTTGGTTCTCTCTTTCTCCCTGGTGCCATTGGTCACCATTTTGTTTGATATTTGTTTGCTTACTTATTTGTCTAGCCTACTAGATGTGGTTCCTTAAGGTTAGAAATTTAATCTTGTAACCTCCAGCATTTAGACCACTAGTTGGCACATGGTAGGCAATACCATTCTAACAAATGAGTTTTTATGAAATCAAATTGGCAATAAACCAGAATGATTATTGCTAGAATGCTAATTTAATATTTACAGATTTATCTGAAAAATTAGGATACTTGACAACATCTTGGTTTTCTGATTTAATTTACCTTTTTCTAGTCAAGCAGTAGTTTGGGGTTAGATTTCAGGGAACTGCTTGGCTAGAGTGAAGACACTGTTTTAAGTTCATTGGTGAACATGTTGGTGAGAACTTTCTGTCTGCTGAAGAATTAACCATAAGTGGTCTCAAACTAAAACAAAGACACAGAGGTATTCAACCCAAGAAGAATGGATGATCTGTAGGATGGTAGTGTCTGCCCCAGCTCTGTCTCTACCTGTAGCACTCACTGCAGCTAATCTGTAGGAGTGGATGAAGTGAGGTGGAAACACTTCTGGGGGGCCCAGTCAGGAAGAGACTCCTAGATGCTTCTGGGCCAGTCTTTCTGTGCGATAGAGTGTCCACTCCCCATATCCTCTCCATACTTCTTTTAAAATTTTGTTTCTTAGTGATTCATCTTAGGTTAACAGCTATGAGAAGCTGTCACTAATTTATGTGTTAACTTCTGAACAGAAGGATCCTGATTAAGAGGAAGAGGAAGGGTTGATCTGAAGAACATAGTGCTGTGGTGGAGGTTGTGTAGAGTTCCATGAGGTCACTAAGGGACCTGGGAACACAGGATATTGGGAGAGCTGGGAAAGGGGAATAGGGATGAGATGCGGGAGCATGCCAAAGACAAAATTACTTTGTTGTCAAATTTTGCCCACAAAAAGAAGAGGGATTCCACCCCTCCTTCACCCAGTCTTGCCCTGTCTCCTTTATTCAGCTGCACTGCTGGATGCTTGCCTGGTTCCCAGCCTTTAAGGTTTTTAGTCTATAAGTTCAACGTTGTTGGAAAAGTGCTCTGATACCTGCAGAGGTGGGAGAAAGGTGGGGGCAGTCCTCTGCTAGGAGATGGAAGGGACAATCAAAGCTTAGTAGCTTGAGCTGGTCCTGGAAGAGCAAGTAGGAGCTCTTTAGCCAGACTAAGAGAAGGGCATTCTTGGCAGAAGGAATATTCTATATAAAGAAGTGGAGTCAGGGAACAGTAGGGCTCTTTGAAGAACTACAGATTGTGTTCTAAATGAATGACATGTAAGGTTTGTAAGGGGCGAGTGATAACCACTGATGAATGGCAGATGGTGTTGACAACTAGGCGGGGCCAGAGTCTGTAGGATCTTACATGTCTTGCAATCAGTTTTGACTTTGACCTTGGAACCCAGTTGAGGCTCCCTTCCGCCCCAGTTCCTCATGGCAGGGAAATACATCATGTTGTGCGTTGTAAGACTTCAAAACTTTGCTAGTGAGAGGCCTGCTTAATATTATTTAATCTAGTTCAATTTAATTGTTTTGAAAAAAAAAAAAAACAACAACTTACTTTGAAGGTACTCTTTTACCAGTTTGGGAATTGCTACTACAGACAACGGGAAGCTACTGAAGTTTTATGTAGAGAGGGAAATGGTCATATCTGGCTGCATACAGACTTGAATGAGGGAGACGAGGGCTCAGGACCTGAATCAAGGCAAAGCTGATGGAGATAGGCATGGTGAGGTGGATTTGAGAAGGGTAGTCAAAAGATGAGTGGCCGGTTGGATGTAGGTGTGAGATAGGAAGAGTTCGAAGGTGACTTCTAAATTCCTGGCTTGGCTTTTTAGGCAACTCATACTCATTAAAGGAGTAGGGGGAATTGGTGGTGGCTGGGTGGTGGGGCAGATTTTTTGGAAGAAAGAGAAAATGAACCTATTGAGTGTTAGCTGTCTGCAAACATGTAGTTGAATCTGTGGGTCTGAAGCACATGAGAGATTAGTGCTGAAAATGTGAATTGGTAGTTGCCATCGCGATGGTCCAGTAGTGCCACCCCTGATGAGATTGTTACAAAGAGAAGAGCCTGAGGAATATTAATAGGAAAATTAAGAAGCGGGCAGAGGAAATGGAGGCTTGGTAACCTGGCTACCTGCCCAGCAACCCAGGCTAGTGTAATGTGAACTGCAGCTCAGCAGAGTTGTAAGAGGTAAAATGGGCATTTGTGGGCTATCTTAGGAATCTAGACACTATTTTCCTTATGGAGAAATGCATTTCAAGTACATGTGGAGTAAGAATTGGTTTTTAAATGAATTTTGTTCCTTGAAAGATGGTGCTGCCTACGTGTCATTCCTTAAATTTGTTGGTAAGGCTTTTTGATGTAAAGTCACCCCATGCTTGACTTTCTGGTGAAAATGAAAAATACTAATCTTGGTTAAGTGAAGATGATTTTTTCCTGGTTTTGAAAGGCAGTATTCTGGTAAGTAAGAGTAGATAATGCCCATCAAAGTGTTGTGTAAACTAAATATTCCCATACAGGCGTCACTATTGTGGTTGTTATAGTGCCTAAATACATTGATTGTGGGGTGTGTCTGTGTGCGTGTGTGTGTGTATGTGGTTTTTTTTAAATCCTGGATAGTGGCATACAGGACAGTCATAGGAGGTTAGAAAGTTAACATTTTTATGATGGTTGTGCTGTGAATAAGGTGATTAACTTCTTCAATAGCAACTTATATTACTGTATTTTTGAAGTATTTGTTGAATGTAAATGTTACGGCCTTTGCATTGTCTATGCTGGGTTAGCGTGGGTAGGTTTCAGATTAGACAAAGGACTCAAGTAGAAAAACCCAAATTCATGTAACTTAAAGTTGACCCAAGTACCTATGAGTTACATTTATACATTTGCAGGATTTTACTTTTTGTACAGAATAGCTTCCTAGTGATTTTGTGCTTCTTTGTGGTTGGATTTTTCAAATCAGAATCTGGAAGAGTGAAATATGAATCATTCTGTAGTGTATGTAGATCATGAGGAAAACTAATTTTGCTTTGTTTCAAATTGCACAGTAATTCTGAAGTGAACCATACAGAAGTAATGAAAAAAATTATTTTTAGGTTTGCTATCAGTAAGAAAAAACAAACATTTCTGAGGTTTATATGTTTTTAACACACTGAAGACTTGGAGGTATAACCTCTGGAAAATTTTCTTCCACTCTTCTTTTTTTCTTCTCTACTCTTCCCTATTCCTATATTATTCCCTAGCATCCCCTTTTTCTCATCCTAGCTTTTCCTCTCCACCGTGCTGCGCTATTTCAGTATCTTTCTATGCAGAACGTTACTTTTTGTTGTATTATGCAACTACAGTGTAATCTTTTTGAATACTTTAATTAGTAATTTAAACTCAACATAGTCTTAGCAACAGTGCACGTTACTTAGCTGGCATGACCATAGTCTGAGCGGTGTGGCCAGTGTGAAGCATGAGTGTGCAGTGAGCACCGCATCACAGCAGCCACTTGCCGGCAGCAGCTGTAAGGTTGTATCTAAGCAGTGTCTTGATTTTAGCTATGGTAAAATGAGAATTCATGAATGTTTAAATTTCAGAGACCATCTTTAATTTGATGACTGAAATGTCAGCAGTTATTTGAGATTTTTATTAATAGCATTACAGTTTCAAATGAATAGTTGTTAATTTGCATTATAATGGAAGACATTAATTTACATATTACTCAACAAAAACTTTACCTTAACTCTGAACTAAAAAGTATAATTTTTAGTTTGGGGGAATTAGGCTTATTTATCATTTGGTTTGTTTACACAAGCTGTTATTGAAACTCTTGATTTGTCAATTTCTATTATATTAAGTGCCCATGCCACACGATTTCTTTTCTGCTTATTTTAACATACTCCTATTTCCAGCTGCTTGGAAGGCCAAGGTGGGAGGATCCCTTGAGCCCAGGTGTTTGAGACCAGCCTGGCAAGATGAAGAGACCTCATCTTTATGGGGGAATTGGGGGAATTAGTTAGGTGTGGTGGCTCAGGCCTGCAGCCCCTTCCTGCTCAAGGGAGCATCCCTTGAGCTGAGGAGTTGAGGTTGTGGTCAGCTGTGACGGTGCCACTGTCTTCCAGCCTGGGTGACAGAGTGAGACCCCATCTCTTAAAAAAACCCGAAAAACTCTTTTATTTGTTCTAACTAGGTGTTTTTGCTTTTAAATACCCACTGTCACCCCCCAAAGGAAAGAAAGCACAAAACTTTTATACTCTACTTCATAAATCTAAAGATGCAGAGGAATTTGAAGAAACCGTTAATGGTAGCCTCTGCCTTGCAATACAAGATGATGTTAACAGTTTGGTGTGTATCTTACACCTTTCTGTTTGGTCTTTTAAAAACACATATCCACAGAGTTATTTGGTTGCTATAAAAATAGTGTATTAGACATATTCCTTTTTTCCTGTTTTTATATATTACATAGCTCTATCTTGGTTTCTACACATAGATTTAACTCATTCTCCTTAATTCCATAAATTATTCATCTATTCTTCTATTGATGGACGTTCAGGTGGGTTCTAGGTTTTTTCCCCCTGCTGCAAACAGTGCTGCAATATACATGTTTTGTTCCTATGTACCTATATATGTATTTGTCATAGATTTTAAAAACTGGGATTGTTGGATCAAAGTGTATAGGTTTTAAATTTAAATATCTTCTGAGATCAGATGAGATTGGCACGTTCAAGGTGGTATGGCCATAGACAAAATTTAAGTATCTTGTCAATTGGTTTTTTAAAAAGGTAGGACAGATTCACTCCTAAGACCAATATATAAGGTTGCTCCTTGTCAGGTTTTTTTTTTTTCACCAATTTAATGGGCAAATAATGTCTTACCATATAATTTTATACTTTAAATACATCGTCTTGTTCTGTAATAGGTTCATTTGCTCTTTGTTATTGTTCTCTTCCTTGCTTTACAACTTTGCAAGATTCCTAAATTCTACTTTCAGACTAGAATGTACAGGGAGTATTAATATAGCTGTCTCTCTCCGCCCCATTATCATTTGTTTTGTGTTTTATTGCGTACATTAATTTTTTGTTGAGACACATGAATGCAGGGCATCTTTTAGAAAGGCAATTCTGCTTTCCATGTCACGATCTCCACTGGTACTAAAATATATAATTTCTCATTGAAATTTCAACTTTTATTTTAGATTCAGGGAATACCTGTGCAGGTTTGTTACATGGATCATATTGTGTGATGCTAAGATTTGGGGTATGATTAATCCCATCAACCAGGTAGTAAGCAGAGTACCCAATAGGTACCCTTGCCCCACCCCTTCCTTCATCTAGTCATTGCCAGTGTCCATTGTTCCCCATCTTTATGTCTATGTATATCCAATGTTTAGATCCCACTTACAAGTGAGAACATATAGTATTTGGTTTTCTGTTTCTGCATTAATTCGAATGCTTAGATAATGGCCTCCAGCTGCATCCGTGTTACTGCAAAAGACATAATTTTATTATTTTTTATGGCTGCATAGTATTCCATAGTGTATGTGTGCCACATTTTCTTTATGCAATCCACTGTTGGTGGATGCCTAGGTTGATTCCATGTCTTTGCTATTGTGAATAGTGCTGTGATGAACATATGAGTGCATGTGTCTTTTTTGTAGAACGATTTATTTTCCTTTGGATATATACCTAGTAATGGGATTGCTGGGTTGAATAGTAGTTCTGTTTTTAGTTCTTTGAGATAATTTCTCATCTTTAATCATTCTTGATCACTTCAGATAACTGCAGCAGTTCTATTTCTTAAGTCTTGTTGTAACTCAGCCTTTTCTCCTTACTAATGTTGGAACATCCCCTAGTGGTGAAAGAGTGTACCAGCAGGCCATATACAAAGGCTATGCTTGTGTAGCTCAAAACCTTTTTGGTTGATACTTATTGTAGAAATTATTCTATCTGCCTTATTTTAGTGGAGAAGAAGTTGAGACCAGCGTGAAGGAACTTGCATCATAGTTCATGTTGAATTAATTGTTATTTAAGGAAAAGTTAAGGTTGACTGTGTTTTTTTTTTGGCTACTGTGCAACAAAACTTTTATTAACATTTTGAACAGGTTCAGCTACTACTGAAACTGGTCATTTCTAAATTTAAATTGGGGCAAATGGCTACGGTGCAGAGTTAATGTCGTCATTGGGCACTGCGAAAAGGAGACTGAAGAACTGACAGCCATTCCTCAGATGGCGTCGAGGTGCAGGGTTGACTCTGGATGTTGTAATCAGAAAGAGTGTTGGTTGCCTGCAGCAATCAGCTGGTTGCCTGCAGAAGTGAGCCTCTTCTGGTCAGGGGGCATACTTTTTTACTCTGAATCTTGGCCTTTACATTCTCAGTGGTGTCACTGGGCTCCTCCTCCAGGCTGAAGGTCAGGGTCTTCACAGAGATTTGCATTTTGTTCTGTTAAGTGAAGTCAAAGATACTGCAAATTGCTAGTCACCTCCAGCCACCTGAAGGCCACTACACTGTTGCTCGACAAAGCCAGCCACTGAATCTAAAGTGACTCTTGTGCTGTTTTCATTTATGTTTGTTTGTTTTGGGGATGAAGTTGTAAATCCTACTGTTGTAATGTAGTAAAGAACCTGGCATAAGATGCACACTTAATACTTAGATGAATTAGTTTGATAAAAATAATTTAGGGCTGGGCGTGGTAGCTCACGCCTGTAATCCCAGCACTTTGGGAGGCTGAGGTGGGCAGATTGCTTGAGTCCAGGAGTTTGAGACCATCCTGGGCAATATAGTGAAACCCCATCTCTATAAAAGCACAACAAATTTGCTGGGCGTGATGGTACACACCTGTGGTCCCAGCTACTCAGGAGGCCGAGGCAAGAGAATTGCTTGAACCCGGAAGGCAGAGGTTGCAGTGAGCTAAGATTGTGCCACTGCATTCCAGCCTGGGAGACAGAGCAAGATGCTGTCTCAAATTTTCTTTTTCTTTTCTTTTCTTTTTTTTTTTTTTTTTTTTTTTAGAATTTGCTGCTACTTAACGCTGTATTATAGGCACATGCTTTTTCAGCTGGGCCAAAATGTAGAGGAGATAGAAATAAATCTAATTAATAGAAGTATACTTGTTAAAGGAGCTTTCAGAATGACAACTTTCTCTTGCCTGGGGTAAGATGCAGGCAAAGAGAATGGTCTGATAGAGCACCATGATGTGCTTCAAAGGTTCCTACAAGTTTAGAACTCAGGGTTGGCCATGCATTGTAGAATTAGAAGTTTAGGCATATATTCAATCAACTATTCAGTCTTCCTTCGGGAAGGCATTCAAAAGGCACTAGTGTCTCTTCCTCACTCCCACCCAGCCCAGAGGTAGCCATTGTCACCAATTTATTGATGTATTCGCCTTTTTGATTATCTCAGGAGTAGGTGCCAGTTTTCTCTCTAAGCCATTTTACTTCTGCCAGTTCTGAATATTCAGTCTGGGACTTATCACTGTTTCCTGTTGCCTGCCGCAGCATTTTTCATCGTAGATAGTAGTAATGTTTTGAAATCTATCTAGCAATCATAAGAGTCTTAAAATTCTTAACCTTGAATGTGGAATTTTAAAAAGTTACATACTTTTTAACAATTTAGGGGAAAGTATGAAAGTTTTAAGAACATAGTAGCTTGAATAATTGAAATAGAAAATCTCTCAGTGACGTAAGTGGACATTTTGAGAATGCAAACTGTTTTATTACATTGCATATAAATGATATTTTGCACATTTTTTTTTATAAAGAGAGAGTAAAATGCACGTATCATTTGTCAGTCCAAAGGTAATGTCCCCCTTTTTGCCAAATACTATACAATTAGACAAAACTCTGTAGGATTTCTCTGAATAAAAGGGTTGATTTTGTTTTTTAAATAGAGTATATGATAAAAGCGATAAAGTACCTATGCAAGAATTAATGGTATAGTGTAGGCTAAACTCTTCTTCATATTGATCCTAATACAGGTAATTATGTTATCTTTCCTAATTATAGCTTATTTTGTTATAGCTATCACATTGTTTTGTAACATACAAAAAAGTATAATTATACAAAGACTCCACTTTACAAATGTAAATACAGTCTTGGTTTGGTGTATATTGGATACAATGGTCTTCCTTAAGCCTAAACACAGAAACAAAAGCATATTATAAGAGAAAGTCCAAGATGGGAAGTGATAAAGTGGGTATTGAGTAGAGCTTTGTTAAAATTTAGCTGGTATCCTTGTAAAATTTCCATGTATTCATTAAATTATATTATGTCATTCTTATTTTTAGGAGCTGACTTGAAGTTTTAAGTTTTGCCCTCATAAAGAATTGTCACAATTTGGTTATTACAGTTGGATGATTCTGATTTTTTAAAAATTCTTTTTGTATATATTTGTATAGGTATTAAAATTGAAATTGTTCAATGACTAAAGTTAAGGCTTTAAACGTATTGGGGCATATTTTATTTCAACAGCAAAAAGTAGAACTGATTTTGAACTGGACAAGGTTATCTTCTCAGTTACTGTAAATTTTACAAGTTTGAGAATAAAATAATATTTAGAATGCTAGCTGTGCTGTTTATATTTCAAGATCATTAAAGCACTCTTGGCTTGTGTGGTCTTTAAAGATGGGTTTATCAAATATTTATTTAACATTGGTAGGTATGTGTAATTCTCAGAAAAAAAATCTAGGACTGCAAAACAAAGCGGGATAATTCCTTCTCTCATTCAACAATACAAGGTGTCACAGAAATCTCAGTGAAGTTTTAATTTTTAAAACTCCAGAATTATATATGTTATAAACTTAAACACCATTGAGAAATTCAGTTACTGGAATTTCTTTTATACTTATTTATTTTTGTGAGTTTTTTTTTCTTTTTTGAGACAGAGTCTCACTCTGTTCCCAGGCCGGAGTGCAGTGGTGTGATCTCTGCTCATTGCAACCCTCCGCCTCCTGGGTTCAAGCAATTCTCCTGCCTCAGCCTCTCCCTAGTAACTAGGATTACAGATATGCACCACCACACCTGCCTAATTTTTGTATTTTTAGTAGAGATGGGGTTTCACTATGTTGGCTGGACTGGTCTCAAACTCCTGGCCTCATGTGATCCTCCTGCCTTGGCCTCTCAAAGTGCTGGGATTATAGGCGTGAGCCACTGCACCCAGCTGTGAATTTTGAATGATGCGCTTTTTTTTTTTTGGTGTGTGTGTGTGATGGAGTCTTGCTCTGTCATGCTGGCTGGAGTGCAGTGGCGCAGTCTTGGCTTACTGCAACCTCCACCTCCAGGTTCAAACGATTCTCCTGCCTCAGCCTCCTAAGTAGCCAGGATTACAGGCGCATGCTACCTTGCCTGGCTCATTTTTGTATTTTTAGTAGAGATGGGGTTTCACCATGCTGACCACGCTGGTCTCAAACTCCTGACCTCAGGCATTCCACCCGCCTCGGTGAATAATGCATTTTTAATTTTAGTTTTTTACTTCAGTACTGCTGAAGATGGCAAATACTGACTGAAGGAAAAAATTAAATTAAAAATGTATTATTCAAAATTGCTTTGCCTGAACTTTTACTTGATTACAGGTCGTTATTTAAATCACTTCGTGAAATTACCTACTTTGGAATTGTAGGCACGTACATAGACTATCCTTAAAAAAATTCAACACTCTCCACACTCACTATTATAATATTGTTACAACTCTTGAGAAACTCAGGTTTGAAGCAAAGATGTCTTTGAGGTTTGGAGATTTCTGTGTCTGAAAACAACTGATCTTGTTTTAAGGAATGAAATCTGACTAACTTTTAGCATGGTATAGGATAAATAGTATACTTTAATTGTTTGTAGTAATTACATAATGTGAAAAAATAAGTAAACTTTCAAAAATTGGCATATTTAATGTAGTGAGATTTTTTTTCCCAGTAGCTTCACTTTGTCCCATACTGTTTTTTTTTTTTTTTTTTTAAACTCACACAGCAAATCAAGTTTATTATAAATTCAAGGAAGGGTTTGGTTAAGCACAATAGCCTATAAGCTCCTTGCTATTTAGATAACATCAAGACTCAGGCATGCACTGTGGAATTGGAACTTCGGTGAGCTAACTAGCTAGGATTTATTCAAATAATAGGAGCTCTACGAGTGACAGATGGCAGAAGGGCACATCTTCTGAAAACTTACTAAAAATTGGTGAATTACAAAATTCTAAATTTTAATACCTTAATCATTTTGAAAGCAGTTCAGACAGAACCGAAACAGAAATATTTGGCATAAAATTCCAAATTTTTATGCTTAGTTTTATTTTTATTATTAAAAGCCAGCTTTTGAAAGCTGTGCAAATATCAGGAATTGGGAAGAATGATGATATAGTGCTACTGGTAAGAAAAATTTCTTCAATTTGTTTTCTCTGATATCGAATTTGACTTGGTTAAAAAACGTGTGCTCCAGCAGTCCAGAAAAGTTATATTTCTGTAAGTAATGGGTTTATCAATTTGGTATTAATGCTTCAAATGTCTGATTAGATATATAGTAGAATTGTATTTAATATGTATTTTTATCTTGATAAGCAGTGTATTTTAAATATGTTTATGTGGTTTTTTATCCTCTCAGTCATTGAAATAATCAGGGCTTTTACTTATGTACATTTAAAATTTAAATATGTTTTTAACATACATATGTTCTAAATGTAAGAGCTGTTGGAGTTGTCGCATTGGAGTTGACTAAAAGTTTATGTGAAAAGTGAATTCTTGGGTAATTTCCTTTGAGGTGTATAATATATTCAAAGTGAATAATTAATTGGAGGTTTTTAGAGCAACTTTTTATTTGAATTGTTTATTTTTAGCACTTTGGTAAAATTTGCTAAGACTTAATTTGCTTTAAAAAACAACTACGTTTTAGAGAAATTACACTCATAAAAAGAGTAATGGTGTAATATGGTTAAAAAATTGTATTTTGAAAAGTATGAAAATAGATTGCTATAGGCAGTGAACTGCCTATAATAAGCTCATTTAAAAATAATTAATTGGAAGAGTTCTTTATGTGGTCTAACTGTAGAAGATGAAGTGAAAAATATTATTATGCTGAACTAAGGTGAATGAACTCCTTCTATAGATGGAGAAAAAGTTTTAAATAGTTAAAAGTACATGGGCTTAATGAAAACATTGGATTTTAACGGCAGTTCCTTTCTAAAGTTATAAAACATGCTTATTCATCTATTTATAC
Organism: Homo sapiens; assembly: GCF_000001405.40. Lineage (NCBI taxonomy): Eukaryota > Metazoa > Chordata > Mammalia > Primates > Hominidae > Homo > Homo sapiens. The sequence goes on along the minus strand of NC_000003.12, from coordinate 194,467,132 downwards.
ATACATTCTACATTGAAAAATTTGGATTTACAGGAGTGGGAAGTCTGTAGGTTTGTGGGAAATTGATGAAAGACAAGGGTGAAGAAGAGTAAGATTCAAAAACCAACAGAAGTTTGGTGAATTGAGTTTATGGATAATACCTGGCACATAGTAGATTGAGTCAGTGGACTTTTGAGTCAGTGCCCCAGAGGCAGAGTCCTTAATATTCGTGGCCCTCTGTGCCAGAAATAAATGTCTTCTGAAAGTTTTCTTCTGTCTAAAAGCTTCAGATGGGTGGGAATTAATTTTTAAATTTTTTATTTTTATTTTTTTAGTGATGGAGTCTCACTGTTCTGCCCAGGCTGGACTCAAACTTTTGGGCTCAAGTGGTTCTCTCATTTCAGCCTCCTGAGTAGCTGAGACTATAGGCATGCACCACTGCACCCAGCTGTTTAATTTTTAATTTTCTGAAAACCTTTTCTATTATCAACAATTTCTACACATTAAAAAGTAGAAAGACTAGTATAATGGACTCTCATGTATCCATTCACTCAGCTTTTAACTTTGCTTTAGCAGTTATCAAACTCATGGCCATCCCCTGGTCAATAAAGATGGGTTTTTTAATTTAAAAAATTTTAATTTTGAAGTAACTTTAAACCTACAAAAAAGTTGGTGTATCAGTGTCAAGTTGCTTATTAAGTTCCTTGATTAGTCTTCTGATACTTGCAGAATCTTTTGTGGTATATCTGCTTATTACTGATACTGGTAATTTGCATCTCTCCTCCCCGTTTTCTTTCATTTTGATGAGTCGAGGTAGCAGTTAACAATTTTATGGATTTCAAAGAACCAGCCTTTTTGGTTTCAGTGACGTTTCCTCTTTCTGTTTTTTTATTTCATTGATTTTTTTCTCTGAATTTTATTTCCCTATAGCGGTTACTCTGGGAGTAATTTGCTATTCTTTCTCTGCTTTTCTTAAGGTGGAAGCTGAGGTCATGACCTTTCTTCTCTCAGATACTGGAATTTAGTGCTATAAATTTTTTTCTAAGTACTGTTTTAGTGGCATGTTACACATTTCAATATATCATTTTTATTCAGTTCAGAATACTTTGTATTTTCCACTTTGATGACTTTGACCCATTGGTGTTTTAAAAGTTTATAATTTTTTTTTTTTTGAGGTGGAGCCTCACTGTGTTGCCTAGGCTGGAGTGCAGTGGCGTGATCTTGGCTCACTGTAGCTTCCGCCTCTGGGATTCAAGCGATTCTCCTGCCTCACCCTCCTGAGTAGCTGGGACTACAGGCATGCACCACCACCCCTGGCTAATTTTTGTGTGTGTGTGTGTGTGTGTGTTTTTAGTAGAGATGGGGTTTCACCATGTTGGCCAGGCTGGTCTTGAACTTTTGGCCTCAGGTGATCTGCCCGCACCAGCCTCCCAAAGAGCTGGGATTACAAACGTGAGCCTGCGCCTAGATTTATTTACTTGAAAACAGTTGTATTATTTCAGGTCTTATGTTTAAGCTTTGTTAGGCAGTACCAGAGCAGTTTTTGTTTGAGGCAAATTTTATCCCGCTAACTAAAGCAAAAACCCGAATACCCTTCCTGATTCCTTGTGGCTAATGGGGTTTTCCATTGTGGTTGGTAAAAATGGGTACGATTCCCAGCCTTTTGTGAGCCCTGGTGGTTTAATTCCCTTAATCATTTTGGGTGGTTCTTTCCCTGGCCTTCGGTAGTTTCTTCACACACAAGTGCTGAGCGGTACGCAGCTGAAGGCTTGAGGGAGTCCATCTTGCAGGTCAGTCGTGTTCTTAGTGGGTCAGACTCTCTTCTGGTGATCTGACCAGCAAACCTCATTGCTTTGGTGCTTCCCCAGACTTCCAGTTTCATCTCCCAAACTCAGGGAAACTGCTGGGCTCCCTCTGAGTTCCCTGTCCTCCCTTTTTTTGTGACCTGTAAAGTGTTTTCCATCAGTAAACTGGGACAGTTGTAGGGCTTACCTAGTTTGTTTTTTTAATCTCTCAATTATCAGTTTTCTTCATTGCCTGATGTCCAGTTCCTTGAAAACCATTATGTATTTTGTTGTTGCTTTAGGGCAGAAGGGCAAATATGATCCCTTTTGTCTCAACTTGGTTGGAAGCAGAAGTCTCCATATGAGAATGTGAAGTAATCCTTCCCTGAGGAAGCATATTTTAGGTGGTGGTGATTGGAACTGGAGATCAGAATTGGTTATCAAAAATGACCCCATGGGATGTGGTGGCTCATTCCTGCAGTCTCAGCATTTTGGGAGGCTGAGGTGGGAGGATTGCCTGAGCCCAGGAGTTCTAAACCAGCCTGGGCAACATAGTGAGACCCTGTCTCTATTTAAAGAAAACTAACAAACCCAAACCAAAACAGACCCCGGTGACTACTGAGTGATGACTACAAGGTTCATTTTTGAGCCCTTAAGGAAGAATCACAGGCTAAAGGTTAAGAACCTCAGACTAGTATTCTTTAGCAGGGACAGTGTCAGAGCAAAAGGTCTTTGGTTTATCCTTTGATAGTAGGCCTGTACGGTGTTATTACTTTACACATTCAGGTGATGATAGCCGATCTTCTCTACAGGGAAAGAGGTTGGGCTTATTCTCACCATAGTCTATAGTAGCAGGCACAGCCCTTGAAAATAACTGCCACCCAAAAGTGCTTTGATTTTATGGAACATTATTATGGTGGAATAACTCTGGTAATATGCTCTAGGACCATTACACTGCCCTAGGTGGAGAAGATCTTGTTACCATGCCCAAAAGGTTTTGTGTGGTCATACGGCTTGTTTAGAGGAAGTCGGACCCGATAGTGTGTAAGGTTTCTCCTTTTCCACAATGGCACTGAGTTCAGTATCTTACTGGTTATTTATTTTTGCACCAATGTTTATGTATTCACATATTTGATAAGAATGTCGTAGTTAGGAGTGAAATTATTAAAACGACGTAAGTAACTGTACAGACAGACCCTTCTCTTTTTTGAGATGGAGTCTTTCTCTGTCGCCCAGGCTGGAGTGCAGTGAGGTGATCTCAGCTTACTACAACCTCCGCCTCCTGGGTTCAAGCAATTCTCTCACCTCAGCCTCCTGAGTAGCTGGGATTACAGGCACCCGCCATCATGCCCGGCTAATTTTTGTATTTTTGTAAAGATGGGGTTTTTCACCATGTTGGCCAGGCTGGTCTTGAACTCCTGACCTCAGGTGATCTGCCTGCCTTGGCCTCCCAGAGCGCTGGGATTACAGGCGTGAGCCACCACGCTGGGCAGATAGACCCCTCTTATTGGTTGCTTTATGATAGAACACCAAGAAGTTTCAACAATCTTTATGTATGGGGTTACTTTAAAATTCTGCATTTGGTTTTTACTTGGCTGTTAATTTATATCATCTTAAAATAAATAGGTATTGTTACTTAGTGCACATTTTTTAAATCAGGTCATTTATTCAGTAAGCATTTTTGAGTGCCTAGCGTGTGTCAAGCCTGCTGTGCACTGGGTAGATGAGTAGAGGTATGGGATCTGAAACGAAGGCAGTAATAGTCCTACTGTGAGATCAGCCTCATGTAAAGCAGTGGTTATCACACTCGGGGGGCTGAAACCCATTTACCTTCTTGAAAATTTTTGTGGATGCTAAAGAGCTTTTATTTATGTGGACTATAGCTATTGATACCATATATGAATTAAAACTGATATTTCAAATATTTATTACAAAAATAAAATTATATTTTAAGTAACATTTTTGGAAGATATTTTCTAAAAAAACAAAAAGTTAGAAAACTGGCATCGTTTTACATCTTGCAAATTTCTTTAATGTGTAGCTGAATGTTTAATATTTGAAATACAAAAAAAAAAAAAAAGGAAAAATATGTCAGTGGGCTCAATGAATTTTTTCCCTGGACAAGTTTTGTAGGTAGTCAGGAATAATCAGAAGGTTGCCCAGTGGACTTGGAATCGAATGATGGAGTCAGCTGAGTGCTCTCCAGTAGGAGTAAACCTGCCATAGCGATTGACTTTTGGCCAGGGATTGCCATTTATGTAATTGGTGCTTAGTAAATATTTATTGGATGATTAATAATCTCTGAGAAGTTTTTGGCTTGGTTTCATTGCTAGTGCCATAGCTCTTTACTATGCTACAGTGAATAATTTTGAGTTGTGTGAAGTACTTTTAGCTCAAGATGGTTAAACTACACTACTTCTGAATCTGTGGAATGAAAAAGGAAGACTCTGTTAGTAGTTCCTCTCAATATAAATTGTCCTGTATCACAGTAGTTGCTAGTCTAAATGAATTAATGAAATATGCCATGTTTTGTGGTAGTTAAGTAATACAGATTCAAGCACTGGTATCCCATTGAAAATGTCATTAGAACCAGCTAGCACTTTAGAAACTACTTAAGGGTCATCTAAAGTTTGATACATCCCATGAGCAAGTGATGAATACATCACTACTTTGGAAGAATTCAAATTTAAACAAAATCTTATTAAATATTAAAAGAACACTTCGATGGTATAAAACAGTGGTCCCCAACCTTTTTGGCACCAGGGACTGGTTTCATGGAAGACAGTTACGGGTGGGGAGGGATGGTTTCGGGATGAAACTGTTCAGTCTCAGATCATCAGGCATTAGATTCTCATAAGGAGCACGCACCCTAGATCCCTTGCACGCGCAGTTCACAGTAGGGTTTGTGCTCCTATGAGAATCTAATGCCTCTGTTGATCTGATGGGAGGTAGAGCTGGGGCAGTAATGCTTGCTTGCCTGTCACTCACCTCCTACTGTGTGGCCCTGTTCCTAACAGGTCCGTGACCCAGGGGTTGGGGACCCCTTGTATAATAGACAGTTGATAGAATGCAGTTGTATCGTCTACTAAGATAGAAGATAGTTCCCTAACGTCTGTTCCCTTTCTTCCCTCAGTGATCTTCCATTGTTTGAAGCACTGGACCTTTAATCCACTGTAGGTATGGACAGGGAAGAAAGGAAGACCATCAATCAGGGTCAAGAAGATGAAATGGTAACCAGCTGTTCTAATTTACTGGTGATGTGTGAAGACTTTATCTCTGCAATTTATTATTTTAGGGACTAGAAAAATGCAATTAACAACAGTGGCGGCAGCAGCTAACTCAATGGGCTTCTTTCTTCATCCTGTGCTTTTGAATTGGGATTGTGTAATATGTCTATTAGTTGCTTTTAGTATAATTCTTTTTTTACCTGTGGTCTGTTAAAACTGAGAAGAAGTATGTTTTTGCATTTGGTGATTTAAGAGGTAACATTGGCTAATATAATCCTAAATAAAAGATTTAAATACAATCCCAAATAAAGATTTCTAATTTTGACTTACAAAAATTTTCTAAAATCAGCTTAATAAAAAAAGCCAACTTCAACTTCTCTACTTTTTGTTGGGGGGAGCCAGAAAGATGTCAGGTGAAGTATAAGATGCCCTGTTAAATGTAAAAGTCACATAATGAAGGGAGAAATTTTTAGTATAAATATGTCCAAATGTTGCATGGGACAGACAAAAAGATTATTTGAAATTTAAATTTAAGTGGGCCACCTGCATTTTCATTTATTAAATCTGGCAACGCTTGTTGGGGGGCTCACCTGAAACTATGAGACAGTTTGTCAGTGGATCAAATTGATTAGTCGCAGTGGTATTGGGACAATTAGTAAATCATTTGGGAAATAGTAGATTAAAATCTATTCGTCCAAATGTACTGTGATACTCTCGATTATATTGTGCAACAGAAATAACATGTTAGTGGAAAACTAGTGAAATCCTAAAACTGAGTTTAGTTAATAGTAATACAGCAGTGTTAATCTATTAATTCTTAACAAATGTACCAGGAAATGTTAAAACATTAGGGGAAACTGCACAAAGGATGTACAGGAACTTCATAATATTTTTGCAACTTTTCTATAAATCTAAAATTTATTTCAAAATAAAATGTTTATTTAAAAAAAAAGCCCACCTCATAACAAGATAAATTCAAGAAGAATTAAAAAGATATGTAACAATGAAATTGCAAACATTCTAGGGAAGTGTACTAAATATGAATTTACTATATCAGTGGGAAAGAACGTATTAGGCATAAATTAAATATAAAATCAAAGTGTAAATACCAACAAATTTACTTAAAATATAACTGACAGTAAACTGGTCAGAAACAAAATTTAAAGGTAAATTATGGATTGGAAAATATTTACAGTTTATGTGACAAGACAATAAATACCTATCTGGAAAACAAAGAACTTTGGAATGTGTTTCTCTGCCATATCATTTTATCATTTGATAATTAATCATGTGATCGCTGTGTCCATGCAGGAGATTTATGGTTACAATTTGAGTCGCTGGAAGCTTGCCATAGTTTCTTTAGGAGTGATTTGCTCTGGTGGGTTTCTCCTCCTCCTCCTCTATTGGATGCCTGAGTGGCGGGTGAAAGCGACCTGTGTCAGAGCTGCAATTAAAGACTGTGAAGTAGTGCTGCTGAGGACTACTGTAAGTTTATGTGTTTACTTGTAGCTGATTATTTAAGGAGTAAAACAATGTCTTTGTGTATACTTTATTCGAAATAATAGATGAAG